>NC_000020.11:2339062-2490577 GCF_000001405.40 Homo sapiens
TCAGACTATAAATGGTGCACAGGGAACCTCTGGGCTCTAGAAGTTTAGAAGGACATTGGTAGACTGGGGTGTCAGCAGAGGAGAGTAGCCTGGGTTGAGCTGGGGGGACCCAACCCCTGGAAAAAGAGTTAAGGGAGCTACAGTGTGAGCCAGGGTGTGAGCAGCTGTGGGGCCTGGGGCTGCCCTTTTCAACACCTGTGGGGCCTCCCAGAGACGGAGGTTCAAGCTTTAAGGGAAGAAACAGGACCCATAAGCAGGAAAGCCAAGGAAAGTAATATTAAACCCAGCAAGTGGCTGGGCACAGTGACTTACATCTGTAATCCCAGTGCTTTGGGAGGCCAAGGCAGGAAGATCACTTGAGGCCAGGAGTTCGAGGCCAGCCTGGGCAACACAGCAAGACCCTGTCCTTGCAAAAAATAAATTCAGCATGAAAAATGTCCTGACCCTCACAGAGCCCACAGTGGGGTTGGGCTGTCCTGGGAAGCAGGGTCTGAACTGGAGTCGGGGCAGGGAAGTAACAGTGTTGTTGGCTGCTGCAGGGGGCCCCTTCCCCCTCAAAGCTGAGGTTCTCATCCACAGCACAGGATAATGTCCTGGGACCATCCTGTGTATTGGGGGGCAGGGGGCGTCAGACACAATGTGCCTGGCACCTAGGAGGGCTAAATGGTCTCCCCTTCTTCATCCTCAGTGACATCACCCCCTTCACTCAGTCACCCTGCCCAGCCCTCACCAAGGTGCAGGCAGGGGCTGAGCAGCTGGAGTCCTGACTCGGCAGCCCCTCTCCCCCATAGGTGCTGAACGAGGCTCGTGTGCGGAAGCCTGTGAACGTGCAGATGCTCTTCTCCAATCCACTGGATGAGCCGGTGAGGGACTGCGTGCTGATGGTGGAGGGAAGCGGCCTGCTGTTGGGTAACCTGAAGATCGAGTGAGTCCTGGGCCTAAGTGGCCGGTGCAGGAGGGCGGGAGGGGGCGGGGGGGCCCTCCAGATCCCCTGGGTGGGACAGACAGAGCTCCCTCTGACCTTGGGTTCTTTACTCTTTTGGGGGTCTTGGAACTCTAGAATCTGCTTTTGCATTTGGTTTGGGGGTTCACCAAACTTGAACTCCTGAGAAGAACAGGTCACCAGAGCTAAGAGCTGGCCTTCAGGGCTTAGAATATTTGGGAGATCATGGGACCCCCCCCTCCTGCTTCCCCTGCTGAAGAGTTCCAGGGCTGGAGGGGCCCCGTAACCCAGAGAGACAGCTAGAGGGAGCTAAAGAAGCAGTGGCCTTGCCCAGCCTCCATCAGAACAGGACAGGAGGTCACAGGAGGCCCGTCCAGCCCAAGGTCCGTGTGTCTCGTATCAACACTGATCTGTGCCCTCCCCATCAGCGTGCCGACCCTAGGGCCCAAGGAGGGGTCCCGGGTCCGTTTTGATATCCTGCCCTCCCGGAGTGGCACCAAGCAACTGCTCGCCGACTTCTCCTGCAACAAGTTCCCTGCAATCAAGGCCATGTTGTCCATCGATGTAGCCGAATGAAGGGCGCTGGTGGCCTCCCGTACAAACTTGGACAACACGGAGCAGGGAGAGCTCACCATGGAATGAACCCCCCGCCCATGCTGTCCGGCCTGGGAAACCCTCTCCATCTCCCAAGGCTGCCAGACATGGACCTCCAGGCTCCAGCACATCCCCCTCTCCTCTCCCCCAGGTTGGGGCTGGGTCCACCCTGTCCTATGACTTGATCACTTTTGCACATTCCCTGGCCGCTTCTCCCCAGAGCTGCCTGCTCTGTGAGCCCCACAGCCCTGCTCATTCCTCACGCCCTTCAATGCTGCAGGATGGACTGGCCCCTGACCCAGGGACTCTCCAAACGGGATACAGGAGAGAAGCTGGTCTAGACTGTTTGCTGATCCCCAACCTGCACGGGGCATTCCTGCTTCTCTCTCAGGCCACCACAGAGGGCAGGGGATGGTTAGTCACCTGCCCCAGCACTCACACCCTAACTCAAAATAAATGTTAAATAAGTGCGATCACACAGCACCGACTCTACCTGACTGCTGTTGCACCTAAGGTGGTGAAGGAGAGAGGAGGCTGTGGCCGTGACCTTCTGGAGCAGGGAATAAATTTGAGGAGGCCATGTTCTCTGTGTTTCAATGTCCAAAGGGAGTGGGCTTGATCTGCAAGGCTGTAGATGCAAAACTAGGGAAACATTTCAAGCCAGTTTAGGAAAACTTTCTAACATGATGTCCAAAAATAGATGAGGCTGCCTTGGGAGGTAGCTCCTGGTCACAGAAGGCTTCAAACATTCTCTGTGTGGTTGGGCAAACTTTTCAGGCCTCTCTACATGCATCAGAGTGAGAGGGGACGTCACAGTTTTTGCTGGAACCCTCTGGCAGAGCTGGTCCCGGGGGTGGCCCAGCCTCTGCTCACATGGGGCTCCACGCTCCTCTTGTGGCCAGGAGCAAATGCGTCCTTCCGCCAGCCACAGCGCTGTTAACTCAACCTGAACCTTCTCTGCCTTTATACACACTCTGATGGTTCCTCAGCCTTTGTCCCTTAAAATAACCTCAAACAAATCCCATTAGCTTTCCTGTCGCTTGTGCTGACTAATCCCATTTTGACAACTCTGCCTCATTTTCTGAACTCAGGAGACAAGTAGAATCTAAATAGAAACCTCAACCTCACATCCAGCTCAAAGCTTCTCCCCTGGGTGCAGCGCAGGCCTTACTTACGCCTGCAGAGCAGGCACTGTCCATCTCTCACCTTCCTTCCCTTCCTTCCCCGAACTGGGGAGTTGCTAGATCCCTCAGAGTTGGAGCAGAGAGAGAAGAAGAAAAGTGACAGTTGTCTGTATCACTGGTGCTGATGTAATGCAGCCAATGATGGTCTCTGTGTCGCCAGTGTTTAAATGCAGGCTTTCTGTACTGCTTGTTGCCTGAGCCCAGGAGTTCAAGGCTGCAGTGAGCTATGATTGTGTCACTGTACTTCAGCTTGAATGACACAATAAGACCCCATCTCTTAAAAAAAAAAAAAAGCGGTCAGTAAATTAGGGATTTGGGGTTGAATCACTTACCATCCAGCTGCCTTGAACCCATCCTCATCCCATATTATCCCAGGCAATATGGATTGGGTACATCTGGGTGGATGCCCTCAAACGTTTTGACTTCCAAACTCCTCTGGACCCTCAGAGCCCATAGACAGGCCTGGCCTCCTTCCTATTAAGATCCAGTAACTTCTCTCCCCACCTCCTATCCCATATGGGAAGACACTGAAGAATTCTCTCTCCTGCAGCAGGGGCCCTACTCAGGATTTATTTCTGCCTCTTCTCTTGGCCTCCAGGCTGATGTCATGTTAAGTTGCAGTGTAACTCAGTTGGGGATGTGCCATATCTGATAAAGAAATAAAGAGACTATAGTCCAAAGGATCCGAAAAACTAGGATCATGTGACAGCAGGATCACGGGAGAACTCTGGGAGTGGATTTGAGGGTGCTTAATCAAGGAAGCCATAACAGGAGCCTAAACAATGAAGAATTTATTGACTTGGGGCCATTCTTTTGTGATACGAGATTTAATACCCAGGTGAGGATCCTGAGAGCTGGTGCAAACTGGCTTAGTGGCTCCAAACATCTGGAAGAAGTGATGACTTACGCTAAGTACAGTTGAAATGGCTGAATTCCTATGCTGCATGATAGAGGAAAGAATTAAAAGGCTCAGGGAAATGGGCGTGCTGGGGTTGACATATTATGAGGGGCCAGGAGACATCTTCCAAAGGATTGTGTTCCCTCAGAGGGCCCAGGGGACCCACCCACCATTCACCAAGGCCATCAGAAATGAGTAGTGACAGAGGCATCAACATCACTAAGAAATTCAGTGGTGGCATCCTCTACATTTAAAGCAAAAATAATAGCAACATTGTAGAAGTAAAATGTATGAAAATAATAACACAATGGCCAGGAAGGAAAAAAAAACACTGATGTAAATTTCTTATATAATACATGAAGTAATAAAATATTAATTGAAGATAGACTGTGACAAGTTAAAGATCTGTATTATAAACCTAAAGAAACCAGTAAAAGAAAAGAAGGCCGGCGTGGTGGCTCACACCTGCAATCTCAGTACTTTGGGAGGCCAAGATGGGTAGATCACTTGAGGCCAAGAGTTCAAGACCAGCCTGGCCAATATGGTGAAACCCCATTTCTACTTTAAAAAAAAAAAAATTATCCAGGCGTGGTGGCACATGCCTGTAGTCCCAGCTACTCAGGAGACTGAGGCAGGGGAGTTACTTGAACTTGAGAGGCAGAAGTTGCAGTGAGCCGAGATGGTGCCACTGCACTTCAGCCTGGTTGACAGAGTGAAACCCTGTTTCAAAAAAGAAAGAGAAGAAAAAGAAAAGAAAACAAGCTGGCCATGGTGGCTCACGCCTGTAATCCCAGAACTTCAGGAGTCTGAAGCAGGCAGGTCACCTGAGGTCAGGAGTTTGAGACCAGCCTGGCCAACATGTCAAAACCCCGTCTCTACTAAAAATACAGAAATTAGCTGGGTGTGGTGGTGCATACCTGTAATCCCAACTACTTGGGAGGCTGAGGCAGGAAAATCTCTTGACCCTGGGAGGTGGAGGCTGCAGTGAGCTGAGATCGCACCACTGCACTCCATCCTGGACAACAGAGTGAGACTCCATCTAAAAAAAAAAGAAAACAACAAGAAAACCCAGTTATCAGTAACAAACCAACAAAGTAAACGCAATGTAATAGTAAAGAATACTCAATTAATAGAAAAAGAAGGCAGAAAAGGAGAAAAGGGAACAAAGAATAGTTGAGACAGATTTTAAAAATAAGTAGCAATATGGTAGATTAAACCCAACCATACTAATAATCACATTAAATGTAAATGGCCCAAACACCCAAATAAAAGGCAGCTATTGTCAGATTGGGTAAAAAAGCAAGACCCAACTATATACTGCTACAAAAAATCAAATTTGAATATAGAATAGAAATTGGTTAAATGTAAAAGAATACAAATTATATACCATACAAATAGTAACCATAACAAACCTGGAGTGGCTATACAAATATTAAACAAAATAGCCAAAGATTGTTACTAAAGAAAAAGAATATTTTTGAATGATAAAAGAATCAATCCATCAAGAATAAAAATTATAAGTAGTCTCAATGTTCTTTGAATGCAAAGAAATTAAATTAGATGACAATAACATAAATATATCTGGAAATCTCCAAACATTTGGAAACTAAAGAAAAGACTTCTGAATAACCTATGGGTCAAAGGAGAAATTTTTAAAGAGAATTATAAAGTATTTTAAACTAAAAACACAGCATATAAAAATGCATAGGATGCAGCAGAGGAATATTTATAGCACTAAAATGTCTATATTAGAAACGAAAAAAATCAATGAACTCACCTTCCACCTTAGGCAGCCAAAAAGTGAAGAAATTAAACCAGGCCGGGCGCGGCGGCTCACGCCTGTAATCCCAGCACTTTGAAAGGCCAAGGCCCATGGATTACCTGAGGTCGGGAGATCGAGACCAGCCTGAGCAACATGGAGAAACCCCGTCTCTATTAAAACTAAAAAATTAGCTGGGCGTGGTGGCAGGCACCTGTAATACCAGCTACTCAGGAGGCTGAAGCAGGAGAATCTCTTGAACCTGGGAGGCAGAGGTTGTGGTGAGCAAAGATTGCGCCATTGCACTCCAGCCTGGGCAACAAGAGCAAAACTCCGTCTCATAAAAAAAGAAAGAAATGAAGAAATTAAACCTAAAATCTAAAATAAATGGAAAAGGAAATACCAAACAGCATAAATCAATAAAACAGAAAATAGAAAAACAAAATAGTAATTCAATGTAACTAAAAGTGGGTTCTTTCGGAACATGAATAACATTGATAAGTCTCTAGCCAGACTGATCAGCAAAAAATAAGAAAGACACAAATTACTAATATCAGGAATAAGAGACCCTATAGCTATTTGAAGAATAATTTAGAAATATTATGGACAAACTTATGCATAAAAAGCTTGACAACTTAGCTGGGCATGGTGGCTCATGCCTGTAGTCTTGGGAGGCCAAGGCTGGAGGATCACTTGAGCTCAGGAGTTCAAGACCAGCCTGGGCAACATGGCAAGACCTTGTCTGTATCAAAAAAAATAGCCAGGCACGGTGGCACACACCTGTAGTCCCAGCTATTCAGAAGGCTGAGGTGAGAGGATGGTTTGAGCCCAGGAGGCAGAAGTTGCAGTGAGCCAAGATTGGGCCATTGCACTCTAACCTGGGTAATAGAGCCAGACCCTGTCTCAAAAAAAAAAAAAAAAAAAAAAAAAAGGTTGACAACTTAGATAAAATGAACAAATTCCTTGAAAGACACAAACTATCAAAACCCATTGAGGAAGAAATAGATATCCAAAGTATCCCTATATCTATTTTAAAATTTGAGTTTGGAGTGAAGTTCAGTAGAAAACTCTCCAGCCGAGCCTAACACAAATTGCTGGCCATAGAACTGGTTGTCGTCTTGTCACCACATTTTCATGTGGTTTGTTATACAGCATAGGATATTATTTATTGTTGTATTATATTAATTATCACCACGAAAATATTTATTCACTCTCCAGTGCTCAGTTCAAATGTTTCCTCTCCTGCAAAACCTTCCCCATCTTCCTCCCACATCACTGCATCCAAACACACGAGGTCTCTTTTTTTCTCTCTATGCTTTCCCTTCATTGTCTTTTTGGACCACTTGGCTTAAAGTCGTCTGGCCTACGTCTCTCCTCCCCTGTCCTAGACTTTGTGCTTGTCATGGGCAAAAACCATGTCTTCTTTAGCCCTACATTCTCCACACTTAGCATAATACCTGGTGTAGATAAGCACCCATAAGAATTCATAAAAGAGCCAAAAAGTAAATGAAATTGGTAATGAATGAATGAATGAAGTGACTGATTGAATTTTAATATGTAATATTCATTGAGAGTATAAAATATGCTAGTCACTTTTCTAAGGTTATCATAAGTATTTATTTAATCCTTCCAACAATCCTTTGAGGAAAGTACTAATATTATTCCCATTTTACAAATGAGGAAGCAGAGATTTCGAGAGTTACTTAGATCACAAAATAGTAAATGACAGAGCTGGGACTCATACCCAGGTAGACTGGCTCTAGTGCCTAATCTGTATGTTATGCAGTACTACCTACACAAATTCTAAAGAGGTATCCAGTGATAAATCCCATCACAGGCTTACAAAGAGATACAGAGGAAAAATGAAGCAGAAACAAGGAAGTGTGTCTGTGCTGTGGTACCCAGCCCTAGGGAGGCATTCTTGGACGCCTCCTCCCAATCTCCTTTCCTGCAACTGCTTAGTTTATTGGCTCTCTCATTCCTATGCTGATGAGCATCCCTATTCCCAGAAGCAGCCTCTTCACCCGTCCTACGTCTGGCTCTAAACCACTCCTCCTCCCAACCTTGATCACACTTGCCTGGGGAAGCCAGCCTCAAAGAGCTGAATTCAACATATCCCATTACAATGAATGTTAGTACCAGGGACTCCCCCTGACATTATGTCATTTCTCCTCCCAGCAACCTTCAAAGGTGGAATTATTACACACTGGTACTGGTGGGGAAGCTGAGGCTTAGAGCAAATTCTCTACATTCCTTGCTCTCATACTAGTCTTCACATACCTTTATAATCACTTACCATACTTTATTGCAATCATTTGTTTATGTGTCAATGGTTGCCAATCTGCAGGTGGAAACACAGGTAAATATATATAAAATGATGTATTGATGTCACATTACAATAGATTATATGTTCAGTGACCTTAACATGATACGTTCAATGTGTTGTCCCTCCTCAGGGCATAATTGGTTGTGCTGTGCAAAACTGCAATGGAAGTGGAGTGATACGCAGCAACTCCATCATTCTCACAGACTGCCTTGGATGATTTGTGCCTCTGAGTTTCATGGAATAAACCTGCAGTTTTAGTATGCCTCAGAAGATGTAATCAAGGCGGTTCAATCTGGAACAAAATTAAGTAATATTACTTATATAGTCAGACTTTCTGGCCATTCTGTCGTAAATGTGCTTTCTCTATTAAAAAAATTAAAAGTATATAGATGCATTAAACTATTTTTATACAAATATATTCACATTATAAAAATTCCTTAAATATGTAAGCCGGTAAGAGAGTGAAAAAATAGGCAGTTCCCCCTTCCCCACTCCTCTTCCACTCCTTCCCCCAGAGGACATGCCTGTTGTCAGTATGAAGCATGCCCCTTCCGGTATTTCTTAACCCTTAGGAATGAGAGTAGGGCACCTTCTACTGGTAGATGGGGGAATTACAGGTATTTGTAAAATCATCTGATGGCCAGTGCTTCAGACTGAAGGACCAGCCTTCTGTTTGTTTGTTTGTTTTTGAGAGGGAGTCTCGCTCTGTCGCCCAGGCTGGAGTGCAGTGGCGCGATCTCTGCTCACTACGAGCTCCACTTCCCAGGTTCACGCCATTCTCCTGCCTCAGCCTCCCGAGTAGCTGGGACTGCAGGTGCTCACCACTGCGCCCGGCTAATTGACCAGCCTTCTGTTTAATCATGAAATGCATGTAGGGGTAGGGAGGATAACTCTATAAAAAGGTTTTGGTATCTTATGTTTGACACTGGCAATCCCCCTCATCTGATTCTGCAATATGTGACCTCCCAAGGGCACCAGGCCATTAAATTATATGGTCAAGATCTCACTGAATCACAGGTGATTAACGAGTCCCTCCTGTGACCAGGTTCTGGGGATTCAGCACAGATGATTAGTGCTTTCTGAAGGTTTATCATCAAGGGGGTGGGAAGGTGGGCAGTGGGATGGAAGTGGGGGAAGGTAGGGGGAGATAGATGATAAGATGGATAATCAAATAAAAAATATAAATTCAAGTAATGATTGGTACACTGATGAATAAAAGTCAGGATGGGGGTATGTCGGGGGTGGGATGGGCAGGGCAGGCTCTCTGACGGTGGTATTTGGGTAGAAATTTGGCATGAATGATGAGGGAGAGCCATGTGAACATCTGAAGGAGCAGGTTCTGGAGCAGGGGAGCAAAGCCATTTGGGAGTACCCCTGGTGTGTGTGAGGAAGATAAAGGAGGCAATGGTCCTGCAGTGGAAAAGTGAGGGTAGGGTTAACTGGAGGGGAACACAGATCCTGTAGAGCCCTGAAAGCTGTTATAAGGACTTGGGCTTCTATTGTGATTGAGATGGGAAGCCCAGGAAGGTTTTGAGCAAAGAAGTGACAGGATATGACTTGTGTTCTAAAGAAAACCCTCTGGCTGCTGCGGGGAGTCCATGGAGGAGGTTGTTGTAACCACCCAGGTAAGAGATGAGGGTGGCGTGGTCCAGTTTGGTAGCGATGGGTAGCTGGGAAGTGGAGAAGGCAGAGCCCACAAGATGTGATGAGGGACTGGCTATGGGCTGTGAGGGAAGGAAGCATGCAACTAACACCAGTGCTTTTCCACCTGAGCAATTCAGGGACTCCAGGTGTCACAGGGCACAGCTCTATTGCTCTTCCTCCATGAGGTGGGCCCTAGGGAGCTGTGATGTGGGAAGCTCCTTCCTTCCTCTCCAGTCTCACTCTGGCCCCTCTTCGGCCACTTCTCTGTGTCTGACTCCCTAATCACTGTGCTGCGATCCTGGCTTCAGTCCAGAATGCCAAAGCTGCATCTTCTTTGATAACATTCCCTGGTGCTCAGAGCTCCACACCAGTCCTGGAAGGAAAAGCAGGTTTCAGAGGGAAAAGAAGCCCTAAGGCCCAGCTGGGAGGCTGGAGCAATCAGGGAGGACTTCTCATAAGAGCTGGCCTTGAAGAACGTTATGATTTCCTCAAATTCAGGCAGGGGGAGAAACATGAGAAGGAAAGATGTGTTAATGAACCAGAGTGACATGAGGCTGAGAGGCAGATAGAAAGGACCGGGAAGAGCCTGACCTCGACTGGCTGGAATTAATCCCAATTTAGTGGGTTACAGCAGTGCCGGGTGGGTGGGGAGGGGGGCTGTAACAGGTCATATTTTCCCAAAATGGCCACAGTAGTATTTCTAATTCTATATGCTCTCCTGTCTCAGTCAAAAGGTGGAGTCTAATTTCTCCCTTGGAATATGGGTTGTCTTTGAGACTGCCTTGACTGCTAGAGTTCAGTGGCAGTGATCCTATGTGACTTCTGATCAATTATAAAGGCCATATGGCTTCTGCCTCTCTCTCTCTCTCTCTCTCTCTCTCTCTCTCTCTCTCTCTCTCTCTCTCTCTCTCTCCCCACCCGCCCCGACCTCCACCGGCGCTCACCCTTGGAACCTAGCCACCATGTTATGAGGAAGTCCAGATCACATGGAAATGCCTTATGTGGGCATTCAGCCAACAAATCAGCTAATCAACCACCAATCATGTGAGTAAATAAGCCTTTAGGTAACGTCAGCACCAGACACTGAGTTATCCTCAGCCCTCAAGTCTTCAAGCTGCGACCCAGACAGTGTGGAGAAGAGGCAAGCCATCCCCACTGTGCCCTGTCGGAAATGCTCACCCATAAGAATAATAAATGAATATTCTTCACCACTACGTTTAGGGATAGTTTGTTATGCAACAACAGCAACTGGAATAAGCCCCAACACAGGTCAGCCTGGTGAAAAACTCCCTGGTATCATTAATGTGCCCCCTATTATCTCCAGGGTTATTAGTGTCTAACTAGGCATTATGCACAAGCATCAGAGCCAAATTACAGTCTATATCTAATTACTATTTTATTATTATTCCCTGTTATGCTTGGCTAGTGGGTGTTTGTTGGGGTGGCGGGCACCCTCCCCAGCCAGGGCAGGGACAACCCTTGTGACCCCGCTTAAGAATAGGGTTTTCTCTTCATGATGCCTTCTTGTGGTCAACGATGGCAAAAGAACAAAACTGGAATCTCCATATGACTCTGCAGGAAGGAATGTGACCTGAAGCAAGGGGCTTATCTGCCCATCTGGTGACTCCCAGGTCAGCCCCATCTCAAAACAAGCCCGCTTCAACCATTCATGTATCCATTCATCTACTCAACAACAACAATTTTGAACAGCTATTGTGTGTCAGGCTCTATGTTATCCACACAAGGAGACAGTGGTCCATCTCTCCATGGAGCTTCTATCCTAGTGGGGAGCCAGAATGCAAGTAATCGAACAAAGTGCTGACAGGCTGTGATAAGTGTGATGAAGGAAAGACACAGGTTTTGTTCCAGGAATAATAGGCAACTTTTCTCTGAGCCCCGGGGACGTTTCTGTGGAATTGTGTTTCAGCTGAGACCTGAAGGATCCAAGCCTGGTAAGTCCATCTGTAGCAATGGACATTCACTGGCTGAATCGAGGAGAGGAGAAAATGTTGAACGGATATCAGGAAACTCACAGACCAGCTGGAAATATTAGGGAATCAGGCTTAGAAAACACGCAGGCGCAAAGAGTGACCATGAAGCCCAGCACTACAGCCAAAACTGCACCACAAAGCCCATCAGGTAAGGACATCATTGCTTGACCTAAGAATAAGATGGCAGGAGAATCCATTCTGGCCACCAGGGCCATCACCATTGCCCCCAGAATGGAGTCCTCACCATGCCCTCTTCTTGACACCAGCTCCCAAGTAAAAATTCCAGGTGAGAACATCCGCTAGGCTAAGCCTGTCATGTGACCATGCCCTCGCTGCAGCAAAATCTGGGAAAGTAACTATTTAGACAAGATGCCTGGATCTGCAGCAACCACCTGGTGGCAATGAAGCAACAGGCACAGAAAACAGCCAAGAGTCAAGGATAGTGAAACACAGACGTTGAAGGAATGAGGCCCTTTGGCGCCACTGCTGAGCTGCTACACCAGTCTTGAGACTGTCAAATTCTGGACACTGTATGAACTAAACAAATAAAGATCTTTAGGATTTTAAGCCACCATTGTCGAAGATGCTGTTACTTGCAGAGAAGGCATTTTTAATCATTACGAAGAAAAACAGATCCACACTCGAGGAGTTTTTATCTAACGTGACTGGTAGAATGTGCTCTAATGGATGAGGATGGGCAGGGTGGTAAGGTTTCTCAAATTTCTGTGTGAATCAGGATCAACTGGGGCTGCTTATTAAAATGCAGATTCTCACAATCCATCCCCAAGCTCACTGGCTAAGACTCAACGAGGAATAAGCATTTTTATGGCATACAGATGTGTCTGATGCAGGAGGCCCACTGGGCAGACTTGGTGAGCAGAGGCACAGGGGGACCCGGGTCAGCTGCAATGTCTTCCTCTTCCTCTCCAAGTCCCAGCTTCTCATCTGCAAAGCTAAATGTGATCATGGATGTCAAGGCCTTAACAGTGCCTCGGTGGGCACAGTCATAATACAAATAATATTTATTGTACCAGAAGGCCTAGGGATCCTGGCTCTGCCCCTTAACTGGCTGTGTGACTTTGGGGAAATTACTTAAACTCTCTGCACCTCAGTTTCCTCATTTGTACAACACAGATAATAATGGTGCTCACCTCATAGACTCATGATGATGGGTGAGTTACTATATGTTGAACACTTAGAATAGCACCTGGCAGATAGTAAGTGCTCAGTAAAGATCAGATTGAATTATTACAGCCAGGGCCAGGCATTGGCTAAAGCATCATCTCTGTCAAAGTGGTTCCTTACTGCCGCCCCACAGCACCAGGATTTGAGAGTACAATTCATTCTGACTGGAGGTAATTGAGAGGACTTTTGAAAGAGGTGAGATTTGGATTTCTCTTTAGTCAGAAGTGGTCTAATCAGGGCTGAGTCTGTGACATCAGGGAGATGCCTACATTGAGGGATCTGAGGATCTGCCTAGAGCACAGCAGAGGCCCCCTTTTCTGGAGAATCACAGGGGTAGGCTTGGATAGCTGTGGCTGGAATGTTAAGACTCAAGGATGCTGAGGGCTGGGGACAGCCTGCTGAAATCTTAATTATGACCAGCAGAGGGAGCCCTAGTTACTACAGCCAGCCTCCAGAATTTAACAACTAGTCAACGCCAGACTCAGGAACCTAGTGATTTCAACGTGCAACCCGGGAGGCGGAGCTTGCAGTGAGCCGAGATCGCGCCACTGCACTCCAGCCTGGGCGACAGAGCGAGACTCCGTCTCAAAAAAAAAAAAAAAAAAAAAAAAAAAAGGAGTGAGATAAGCGCCCTCCAGAGTACATTGAGAGCAGCTGGGAAGCTTGTTATAAATGCAGATCCTAATCCAACATGGGAGGCGGGGACAAGGAGCTGGGGTAACATACAGATGTGTATCAGGCCTTCCAATCTCTTGGCCTCACCTGTCACTTGTGCCAGTCGCTGCTGCAGGAACTGGTGTTGTCACCTGACTGCATCTCCCTTTGCACCCGTAAGCAGCCACACACTTCAAACTGGAAGTACAGAGGAGTTAATACCCTGCATGATGATCCTTTCATCAAAGAGATAGGGCTCAATGGATACATTCTTCCACCTTTCTCACAGAGGCGCACAGCCCTGAAAAGCAGCTTATAATGACTTATCGAAGGCAATCATTTGGGAGTTTGGGCGCACTGGCTCACACCTGTAATCTCACATTTTGGGAGGTCAAGACAGGTGGATCACTTGAGGTCAGGAGTTCGAGACCAGCCTGGCCAACATGGTGAAACCCCATCTCTACTAGAAATAATAAAAAAAAAAAAATAGCCAGGTGTGGTGATGCATGCCTGTAATCCCAGATACTCAGGAGGCTGAGGCAGGAGCATCACTTGAACCTGGGAGGCAGAGGTTGCAGTGAGCTGAGATCACACCACTGCACTCCAGCCTGGGTGACATAGCGAGACTCCATCTCAAAAAAAAAAAAAAAAAAAAAAAAAAGGCAATCAGTTGCACTTAGCAGTGGCTAGCTCAATAACACCCTAGTATTGGCTCTTTCTCTAGGAAAGCCCTCCTTAATAAAGTGTCTACATCTTCACTTGAGCCTCTGCTTTCTTGGGATGCAGACTACAACAAAATGAAACAAAACCAGCCATATGTTAAAATTTGTTGAACCTGTCTTGATGGGTACATGGGACTTTATTATCCTATTCTCTCTATTTGTGTATGTATTTGAAATTTTCCGTAACAGAAAATACATACATACATACAATGCATATTCTGGAGATGGAAATTCAGGAATAAGGACCTCTGTAAAAGCAATGAAAATGCTGACAAAAATTGTCAAAATCAATTTTATAGAACTCAAAATTAACCAAATTTACAATAATCTGAGGAGCATTCATTCCAGAAAATTGCAAAATCTCAATAAAAACACCAAGATCTGTGACTTTGTAATTTGACCTGTTTCCCTCCCCCTTTCTCTTCTCTGTAGCCTTATAACCCGGAAGCCTCACAATCACCCATATCTTTAAAAACCAGTAACGCAGCCACCAGACGGGGCAGACCAGTTTGAAGCTCCTTATGTAGCCTCATCCCCAGAACATTGTCACTATTTGATTCATCTTGCAGCTCCCTGGAAAGGTGTTGTTTTTACATGATCTGACTTAAATTTTGCCCTGGAGGAGAAGTCCTAGTCCCAAAGTGTTTTTCAAAAACAATCAGCAGCACCTGTTTAACATCACAGCTGCCTGGAGCAGTGATACCAATTTAGTCAAACAAGAGCCTAGCCAAAAACGTAGAGAAAGATGTGAGAAGTGAAATATCCACATTGAAAAGATCTGGCATATTCCTGAGGATCTAGAAGGCTGTTTTGTGAGCAGGCTTGTGTGAGGCCTCGAGAAAGCCTCAATATTTCACATATATTTGGCCTTGAGGTCTTATGCCAGCAGGAAGTAAAGGCTAAAGCAGAAATCCTAGAACTGCCAAGTGATGCAGATGTGCCCCAACACACACAGAGAGCCCCTTAGCAAAGGATACAAACACTTATTGATCAAGGAATTTAAGAGAATCTCCGGCCAATCGTTAGCTGACCACTAAGCCAACTGAACAGAGACAACAATAGCAGCACAGCAAAAAAGTGTGGAAATCTGATTTCCAGAGTTCCCAGGTTCTATTATGTAGAATGTCCAGTTTTCAACACAAATTATGAGACACACATGAAACAGGAAAATATGTCCATACTGAGAAATTAAGTATTAATAAAAACTGTCCCCAAAGGGAAACAGATATTGTACCTACTAGGCAAAGACTTTAAAATCAGATTTATAAATATGTTCAAAGAACTAAGAGAAAGCATGTCTAAACAATTAAAGGAAAGTATAGGGGTGATGTCTAACCAAATAGAGGATATTAATAAAGAGATACAAATTACAAACAAGAACCAAATGGAAATCCCAGCATTGAAAAGCACAGTGACTTTTCATAAAATAAGTAAAATGAAATTTTGACTAGAGAGGCTCAACAACAGATTTCAGATGGCAGAAGAAAGAATCTATTATCTTGAAGACAAGTTAATTGAGATTATCCAATCTAAGAAACAGAAAAAAAAAGAATAAAGAAAAATGAATCTGTATGTCACCATCAAGCACACCAATGTACATATAATGGGAGTCTCAGAGGAGATGAGAGAGAGAAAGAAATGGAAATAATATTTGAAGAAATAATGGATAAAATTTTTCTGAAACTTAATGAACTCCACATAGGAGAAAATCAAGGAAATTCACACTTAAACATATTATTATCAAATAGTTCAAAGGCAGAAAGAATCTGAAAATTAAAAAATGAACTCATTATATATAATGGATCTTTAATAAGGTTAAAAGGTGACCTCTCATCAGAAACCACAGAGGCCAGAGATTAGTGGGATGACATATTCAAAATGTTGAAAGAGCAAGGCTGTCAACCAAGAATTAAGAGAAATTAAGACATTCCCAAATAAATAAAAACAGAATTTATCACTAACCAACCTGCCCCACAAGAAATACTAAAAAGAATCTGCAGGCTGAAATGAAAGGACACTAGAAAGTAACATGAATCCACATAAATAAAGATTCTTGGTAAAGTTAACTGCTTAGATAAATATAAAACATAGTACACGTGTATTATTTTTTGTAACTCTCTTTTTTCCTATTTGATTTTTTGAAACTTACTACAAAGCAACAGTAATCATAATAGTGTGGTACTGGCATTAAAGACAGACATATGGACTCAAAGGAATAGAATAGAGAGCCCAGAAATAAATCTTCACATATATAGCCAAATGATTTTTTGCAAGGGTGCCCAAACCATTCTGTAGGGGGAAAAGACAGTCTTTTCAACAATTGGTGCTGAGAAAACTATATCCAAATGCAAAAGAATGAAGTTGGACTCTTACCTAATAACATATACAAAACAAATTCAAAATGGACCAAAGAACTAAATCTAAGAGCTAAAACTATAAAATCCTTAGACGAAAACAGAGGGCAAATATTTCATGACATTGGATTTGGTAATGCCACCAAAAGCACAAGCAATAAAAGAAAAAATAGACAAATTGGACTTCATCAAAATTAAAAACTTTGTAAACACTATCAATAGAGTAAAAAGGCAACTCAAAGAATGGGAGAAAATATTTGCAAATCACATTTCTGATAAGGGATTAATATACAGAATGTATGGAGAATCCTTAAAACTCAAGAACAAAAAACAATCCAAAATTTTAAAATGAGCAAAAGACTTGAAGAGAGATTTATCCAAAGAAGATATGCAAATGGCCAATAAGCACATAAAAAGATGCTCAACATGACTAACAATTAAGAAAATAACACTCATTTGGATGGCTGCTATAAAAAAAAAACCACAGAAAATAATTAGTGTTGGCAAAAATGGCACTTTGGACAGGACAGCCACTATGAAAAACTGTATGACAATTCCTCACAGGATCCTGTATAATTTCACTCATGTAAGTTATTAAAGTAGTCAAATTCATCAAGATAAAACTATGATAGTGGTTGTCAGGGGCTTGGGGTGGGGGAAATTAGGAGTTATTGTTTAATGAGTACAGAGTTTCAGTTTTGCAGGATGAAAAGAGTTCTGGAGATGGATGGTGGTGACGGTTGAACAACGATGTGAATGTGCTTAATGCCACCGAACAGTGTTCACTTAAAATTGTCAAAATGCTAAATTTTATGTTACGTATATTTTGCCACAAATTTTTTAAAAAATCAATTATTTTAAAAAGACAACAGCATGAAGCAATAATTATAAAACTATGTTTATGTGTTTATAATGTATAAAAACGTAATTTGTATGACAATAATTTCACAATGGAAGGGCAAGGAAATTGAGTGTTATTGAAGCAAAATTTGTGTATGCAATTGACATTAAGTTAGTATTAATCTAAACTAGATTATTTTTAAAGTTGAGATGCTAATTTTCACCCCAGGGCAACCACTAAGAAAATGACTTAAGAATTATAGTGAAATAAATAACAAGGAAATTAAAATGGTACACTAGAAAATATTCAACATAAAATAAGTCAGTGACAGAGGAATAAAAGAACAAAGACTCGGGACAGAAAACAAATGGCAAAATGGCAGATGTAAATCCTATTTTATCATTAATTACATTAAATGTAAATGGCAGCTCAGAGAGGGTCCTGTCAGGGGTACATGCATCTTAACAGAGATTTCATGTGAATAGAATGAGTGCTTGAGATTTTAATGCTGGAATTTCAGTATCTGCCAGGGAATTGGGGATATACAGTCATATATGTCAAGTAGGGGCACACAGAGTGAAGCTACTAATTAGGCCGAAATCAGACTGTAAAGAACAGTGTCTTTCAAACGATTCCAGCTGCAAAATGCTTTCTTCAAATCAAACAACTAATGAAACTTTGATGTACATAAAATAGTCAGGGAAGTTCTATGATTTAGTGGGTGTTGGGGCCAGGAGCTGGGCTCACTCTACCTCCCCTCGTAGTAAACATTTGTGATGTACTATGTCTTCCTCCGTATACCACTGTTAACATCCCATATCAAGTGCATGCCATGGCATCTCTCTGCTTTGCTTTCAGAGGAGCTTGAGAAGACTGCTCAGCCATGTGTTGTGCATTCCAGAAGTGTGGGGGTGTTAACCTCTGGAGGTGACCCACAACCAATGGAGACTGGTATCAGCCCTACAGTTCTAGAGGGACAGTTCTAGGATGTATTCCATACAGCTTCTCAGACAGTCCCCAGTAAGACTGAGCCCCAGTTACCCACAGTGATCTACTCATTCACAAACACTTGACCGACATTCCTCCCTTCCCAGTATCACTCCTAATGCTCCTTCACTTCTGCTTCTTTGACTCACCTCCCAAATCGACTATATGTACCCATGATTATCTTAGGGTTTTGCTTCCAAGGAAACCCAAACTAAGACACCCCTCACCCTGCCCCAACATGTCTCCCAAGACACTTGAAGTCTCCTCTGTGGAATGTGTGTGGCAGTCCCTACCCTAAGCTCTCCTTCCCTGTGCTTCTCAATGATCTTAACCTTTTGCTCCTCACCTCTGAAAGCCATCTGGACTCAGGGAAAAGTTGACTTCATACAATATTTTAAATTCTTTATGTATGAGAAAAATAAGATAAACAGGCTATGGTGATTGGATGTGGGAGTTGAGGGGCAGGAGGAGTAGAAGAGGACCACAGGCTTCCAGCTGGAGTTGGAAGACAGGAACTGACACCATCAAAGCAGGTTAAGGGAAGACAAAAAGACAGCTTGGGACATGTGTTTTTGGTGCTTGAGGGATATCCTGGTGGAGTTTCTCCAGTAGACATTGGTTATTGTTTTCTGGAACTCAGAAGATAAGAGATATGAAACACATCAAACTACAGGTGATATTCAAAGTCATGGGCATGGATGAGATCACTCAAAATAAATGCTTAGAGCAGAAAAAGAATTTAAGAATCACTGTCTTTTAACCATGGTGAATTCTGAAGGCTGGATTTTAGTGGTATTGGAATGAAGAAACTTTTATTTTCACTTTATACACTTTTGATTTGTTGTTTAATATATACGTATCTGTAGGAGTTGAGAGTGAGAGAAAAGAGTGAAAGACATGGTGACAAAGACCCTCCCATGTTGTACCTGCTGCACCCTTCTCCTCACATCCTCTCGGCACCTGTAGGAGGGGGGCCAGCTTCCTAACCCATGACCCAACTCAGTGGGCAGGTTTGTTCTAGCCTCTTGACATTAGCTACGCCAGGTCTGGCCAGCACGGTGCCCAGACATTGCATTCCATGGGGTTTGCTCAAGGGAGGTAAAAGCTTTATTTGTTCTACAGAGTCACCACCCAACAGTTGCCAAGCCCCTTTGGAATGTTTTGGAGGGCAGTTTCCCAAGATAGGCATCAATAATTACACATATTTTTCAGCCTCTTTGAGCAAAGTCATATAGGATTATATATCTGAAATTTTGGTGTAAATTATAATGTGCTGAAAGCACTAACAAGGGGGTTGTTATTATTACCCAACTGTTGTCACCAGCAATGGCTTCTTCACAAGCATAAGGCTTCATGAACTCTCAGAGAGGATGGCCTCAAGGTGATCTATGAATCCCAAACTTCTGTGAGTTGTGAACGTCCTCACAATTTTCACCTTTCTCTGAGAACTATTGATTCTGTCTTTACTTAACTTTTTAATGTTTTTATACTTTTATTGAGATATAATTAACATACAATAGAATATAAATCTTAAGTGTTCCATTTGATGAGTTTTTGTTATTTTTAACTTTTACTTTAGGTTCAGGGGTACACATGCAGGTTTGTTACACAGAAAAATTGTGTGTCATGGGGGATTGATGTTCAGATTATTCCATTCCCTCAAGTAATAAGCACAGTACCCAATAGGTAGTTTTTCAATCCTAACCCTCCTCCCACCCTCCACCCCCAAGTAGGCCCTGGTGTCTATTGTTCCCTTCTTTGTGTCCATGTATACTCAAAGTTTAGCTCCCACTTATAAGTGAGAACATGTGGTATTTGGTTTTCTGTTTCTGTGTTAGCTAAATTAAAATAATGGTTCCCAGCTCCATCCATGTTGCTGCAAAGGACATAATCTCATTCTTTTTTATGGCTGTATAGTATCCCATGGTGTATATGTACCACATTTTCTTTATCCGGTCTACTGTTGATGGGCATTAAGGTTGGTTGCATGTCTTTGCTATTGTGAATAGTGCTGCAATAAACATACACGTGCATGTGTCTTTATGGTAGATTTATATTCCTTTGGGTATATATACAAAAATGGGATTGCTGGTTCGAATGGTAATTCTATTTTAAGTTCTTTGAGAAATCATCAAACTGCTTTCCAGAATGGCTGAGCTAATTTACATTCCCACCAGCAGTATACAAGTGTCCCCTTTCTCTACAAACTCACCAGCATCTGTTATTTTTTTGACTTTTTACTAATAGCCATTCTGCCTGGTATGAGATGGTATCTCATTGTGGTTTTGATTTGCATTTCTCCAATAATTAATGATGTTGAGAAGTTTTTCATAGGTTTGTTGGCCCCATATATGTCCTCTTTTGAAATGTGTCTGTTTATGTCCTTTGCCCAATTTTTAATGGGGTTGTTTGTTTTTGCTTGTTAATTTGTTTAAGTTCCTTATAGATTCTGGATATTAGACCTTTGTCAGATGCATGGTTTGCAAATATTTTCTTCCATCCTGTAGGTTGTCTGTTTACTCTGTTGATAGTTTCTTTTGCTGTGCAGAAGCTCTTTAATTTAATTAGGTCCCATTTGTCAGTTTTTGTTTTTGTTGCAGTTACTTTTGTCTTCTTTGTCATAAGATCTTTGCCAGGGCCCTTCCTAGATTTTCTTCTAGGGTTTTTGTAGTTTTAGGTTTTACATTTAAGTCTTTAATCCATCTTGAGTTGGTTTTTGTATATGGTGTAAGGAAGGGGTCCAGTTTCAATCTTCTGCACATGGCTAGCCTGTTATCTCAGCACTGTTTATTGAATAAGGAGTCCTTCCCCCATTGCTTGTTTTTGTTGACTTTGTCAAAGATCAGATGGTTGTAGGTGTGTGGCTTTATTTCTGGGTTCTCTATTCTGTTACATTGGTCTATGTGTCTGTTTTTGTACCTGTACCATGCTGTTTTGGTTACTGATAGCCTTGTAGTATAGATTGATGTTGAGTAATGTGATGCCTCTGGCTTTGTTCTTTTTGCTTAGGATTGCTTTGGCTATTCAGGCTGTTTGGGCTCCATATGAATTTTAGAATAGTCTTTCTAATTCTGTAAAAAAATATTATCAGAAGTTTGATAGAAATAGCATTGAATCTGTACATTGCTTTGAGCAGTATGGCCACTTTAACAATATTGATTCTTCCTACATTTGATGAGTTTTAATCATTGTACCCACCATGTAAATACCACCCAAATCAAGATGTAGAACATTTCCATCTCCTCCCTAAAATAGAATTTTTTAAAATTTTTTTCAATTTTTTATTGTGGTAAAATAGGCATAGCATAAAATTGCCTATTTTAACCACTTTTAAAGGTACAGTTTAGTGATACTAAATATATTCATGTTGTTGTGCAACCATCACCATCATTCATCTCAAAAACTCTTTTCATCATTCAAAAATAAAATTCTATACTCATTAAACAATAACTCTCCATTCCCCTTTTCCCTGAACCCCTGGAATTTACCATTTTACTTTCTGTCTCTATAAATTTGACTATTCTAAGTACCTCATATAACTGAAATCACCCCATGGCTATTTTCTTGGTGTGACCATGGGGGTTACATTTAACATCCTAAAGTCACTGCACTCTAATTTGAATGTATACCACCTTAACTTAATTAATACACAAAAACTCTGCATCTTTACAGTTCCATCCCCACCCATTCAGTTGTAAATGTCACAAAAGTAGTCTCTTAAATCATGTATAAAACAAAAAAGGAGTTATAAACCATTGTTATGATAATACTAGCTTTTATACTTGCCCATGTGTTTACCTTTACCGAGATTGTTATTTCTTCAAACAGCTTTGAGTTACTATATAGTGTCCTTTTATTTCACCTAGAACAGGTTCAGCAGTGACACAGTCCTTCAGCTTTTGTTTATCTGGGGATGTCTTAATTTCTCCCTCACTTTCAAAGGACAGTTTTGCTGGATACAAGATTCTTAGTTGATAGTTTTTTTCTTTTAGCCTTTTTAGTATATCAGCTCACTGCCTTTGGGCCTCTAAAGTTTTTAATGAGAAATTTACTTTTAATCTTATTGAGATTCCCTTGTATGTGAGAAGTTGCTTGGTTTTTGCTGCTCTTAAGATTTTCTGTTTTTGATTTTTAAGAGTTTGATTTTAATGTGTCTTGGTGTAGGTCTCTTTGAGTTCATTCTACTTGGAGTTCATTGAGCTTCTTGGATGTTTATATTCATATCTTCATCAAATTTGGGGAGTTTTCAGCAATTATTTCTTAAAATATTTTCTCTGCCCCTTTCTCTCATTCTTCTCCTTTTGGGATTCCCACAATGCTTATTTTTTCCACTTAATGGTGTCCACCACAGGTTTGTTAGGTTATGTTTACTTTTCTTCAATCTTTTTTTTTTTTCTGTTTCCCATATTCAATAATTTCCATTGTCCTGTCTTCAAGTTTGCTGATTCTTTCTTCTGCCTGTTCAAATTTGCTTTTCAATCCCTCTATCAAATGTTTTTTATTTTCTTGCTTGTACTTTTCAGTTCCAGAGTTTCTGATTCTCTTTTGGTTTTTATCTCCTTTATTAATATTTCCATTTTATTTATACATTTGTTCTTTATTTTCACTACATTTTTCTTTAGTTCTTTAAGTATCTTTAAGACAGTTATTCCAAAGTCTTTGTCCAGTAGATCAAGCCTTTTCCAGAAACAGTTTCTGCTAATTTATTTTTTCCTTTAAGTGGGCCATACTTTCATGTTTCTTTGTGTGCGTTGTAATTTTTTGTTGAAAACTGGACATTTGAATCTAACAATGTGGTAACTCTGGAAATCCAATTCCCCCTTACCCAGAGTTTGCAGTTTTTTTGTTTTGTTTATGGCTTTTGATTTTTTTTCTTATAGACCGTCTCTGTGCTGAAAATCAGCCTAAGGCATAAATTTAAGGTTGTATCGGGTCTTTGCTGAGCCTGCCCCTTTTGGGAGCATGTGCAGTCGTTTTTTAATTTCCTCCATGAATACAGTTGCTTTTGAATGTCCTAGTGTCTAATATCTGGTCCCCAAAAGCACAAAAACAGAAAAATGAAGGGAAAGTCAGATGTCCCACCCCTTTAAGTACCCTGGAATTTGCTTCAGCTGGAGGGAGAGGGGCTTGCAGCAATGAGGGGAGGTGTAACAACAATGATTGCCACCTTTTTGGCTGCATCTCTGTGATTAGAAGCAGCAATCAGCAATCAGAGCACAGATTCCTGATATTTGGAGGACAGGGTCCCTTTTGCCCACTCTGGCTCTTTTAAGCTGCTCCCAGAATGTGTGCAAAGTTTCCTACCATGGAGAATGGGTAGTTGCTACTGCACTAAAAGCTAAAATTTAGTAAAATTAATTGCAATTTACCATCCAAACCTTCTCTTGGCATTTACAAGCCTTAGGTAGACTCCAGAGTTTCAAAATAGTTATATCAGACAGAGTCTGGCAGTTCAATTGTTGCCTAGGTGAGGAGGCAGATTCCTTGTGCTTCTTATTCTTCCATGGCCCTAGAATATTCTATTTACTTAATTTTGTTACTTAATATATTTCTTTAAGGCAACTGCCCACTTTTTCTTAGCATCATACTAAGCAATAATATCTATCTTTTATGAGAAGCCAGACCCAGCTCTGAACTGACACCAGGCCTCATTCTCCAAGTGGACCACCCGTCATATTCCTCATGAGTCTTTCAAAAACATGCAAAGAAAAAATGAAATAAAAATAAAGTTCACTTTTTTCTTTCTTTAGAAACAGGGTCTCACTCTGTTGCCCAGGCTGGAGTGCAGTAGCACCATCATAGCTCATTGTAACCTTGAACTCCTGGGCTCAAGCAGTCCTCTCGCCTCAGCCTCCCAAGTAGTTGGGACTACAGGCACTCACCACCGCACCTGTCTAATTTAAAAAAAAAAAATTTTTTTTAGAGACAGGGCCTCACTATGCTGCACATTGCTTGACCTCCTGGTCTCAAGTGATCTTCCCACCTCAGCCTCCCAAAGCGCTGGGATTATAGGTGTGAGCCACCATGCCTGGCCCCGAAGTTCACTTTTTCTAATCAGCTTACTAAAAGGTGAAACGAGAAAATGTTTTTCCCCCTTTTAAAGAAAGTATTTTTATTTTTACTTTTTATTAATGACTTACACACTTACTAGGCCTGCCCTTAGCAATTGCCAGGCTGGGGCAGGAGTAGAAACGGAGTTTTATGAATTTGGTATGCAAATATTTAAAAGTCATAAGTCATGTTAATAAGCTGCTAAAAAATATGCATTGTCTACTCCAGCCTTGACAAATATGTATATTCAAAATGACCTAGAAGACTCAGTGTAAATTTTAGACAGCTCCAATTTTGTTTCATAAATAATAGTGTAGAAAAAGCTCCCTACCCCTGGCCCTAGATCATCTCTATCTTCCTCCCCACCTGTGGCTCTGTGCCACCCTTCAGAGTATAAAATGACACCTTGGGACTCCCAGTTTAAACAACATATCATAGACTTGATCACCCCACTTGTCCCCACTGAGTACAACAATAAGCCCCAGAAATAACTCAAGAGGCAACAAAAGGAGAACTCTGAGAGGTGGTAAGAAGAAGATGAACTGGTTAGAGATCCCAGGACTGGAGGAACAACACAGCAGCCAAGCATCTTACAGCTCACACCCAACAGAGGAAGGTTACCCAGCCCCAGCCCCAGTATAGCAACTGAAGGTGGCTCGGGTTTCTGCAGGAAGTAAAAAAGAAAGCACTACCCCAGTTTTGTTTGTTTGTTTGTTTGTTTTTTACTGCTTTTCTCTGGTTTTTCTCTTAGGATAATACTAGCCTCTGACTTGTCATGCATATCAATAGTTTGTTCCTCTTTGTAGCTCCATAGAGAAACACAGTATAGATGTACCATGGTTTAACAATTCATCCGCCGAAGGACTGGCTGTTTTCAGCATTGGAGTATTAAGAATAAAGTTGCTATAGACATTCATATACAGGTTTTAGTGTGAACATAAGTTTTCATCTCTCTAGGTTAAATGCCAGTGAGGACAATTGCTGAGTCACACGGAAATTGCATGTTTAGTTTTGTAAGAAGCTGCCAACCTGTTTCCAGAGACGCTGTATTATTTTATATTCTCACTGGAAATGTATGACTGATCCTGGTTCTCTGCATCCTGGCCAACATTTGGAACAAACTATTAATACATACAACAATTGGAAGAATCTCATGGGAGTTACACTGTGTAGGAAAAAATGTTAACCCTAAAATGTTACATACTATATGTTTCTATTTATATAACATTCTTGAAATGACAAAAATTATAGAAATGAAGAACAGCGTAGTGGTTGCCAGTAGGACAGAGGGAGTGTAGGACAGAAGTTGATGAAGTTGATGTGGTTATAAAAGAACACAAGAGGCCGGGCGCGGTGGCTCACGCCTGTAATCCCAGCACTTTGGGAGGCTGAGGTGGACGGATCATGAGGTCAGGAGATCGAGACCATCCTGGCTAACACGGTGAAACCCCATCTCTACTAAAAATAGAAAAAATTAGCCTGGTGGGGTGGCAAGCACCTGTAGTCCCAGCTACTAGGGAGGCTGAGGCAGGAGAATGGTGTGAACCCAGGAGGCAGAGCTTGCAGTGAGCTGAGATCACACCACTGCTTTCCAGCCTGGGCAACAGAGTGAGACTCTGTCTCAAAAAAAAAAAAAAAGAACATAAGAGATCCTTTTAGTGATGGGGTTGTTTTATACATTGGCTGTGGTGGTGGATACACAAACCTACACATGTGATAATATTTGCATACAAATAAACACACACACATCAGTAGGAGTAAAAACTAGGGAAATGTGCATAAGGTTGACGGGTTGTATCAATGTTAATTTCAACGTGATACTGTACTGTCGTTTTACAAGGTGTCACCATTGGGAGAAACTGGGTAAACAGTAACCTGGGATTTTTCTGTGTTATTTCTCACAACTGCATGTGAATCTACAATTACCCCAAAACTGAAAGTTTAACTTTAAAAAGACACCTCAGCCAACATGTTCAAGTGCTATCGGTACCATCACAAATAGCTGCCCTGGTCCATTTCTCAGATCTGGAGGTACACACAGCAGTGTTCAGTCCACCAACAAGAGGACTAGCCTGGGAAAGAGACCAGTTCACAATTTACATGCAGGCGCAGAGCTGTTTGATCAGGGTATTCAGTGGTCCCTGACATGGTCTAGACAGAAGATGGGGTCACAGGCTCCATGTGGACATGGCCCATTGTCCCCACAGGCTCCTGACCCTATAGGGAAGGATATGGTGTATGGCCCAGGTCTAAGTACAAGTCAAATATCTCTACAAGGTTGGCATGGAAAACATCACCCATCCACTTTTTTTTCCTCCAGTTGCCCCCTCTCCAGTAGCTACTTCTTTCCCTTTCTACGGGAGGCAGAATTCTAAGATGCTCACCATGAGGGTTAATATCATGTGGCAACTTGACTGGACCATGGAGTTCTCAGATATTTGGTCAAATATTGTTCTAGGTGTTTCTGTGAGGGTGTTTTGGGTGAGATTAATATTTAAATTGGTAGACTGAGTAAAGCAGATGGCCCTCTCTAATGTGGGTGGCCCTTATCCAATCAGGTGAAGTCCAGAATAGGACAAAAAGGCTGACTCTCCCCTGAACAAGAGGGAATTCCTCCTGCCTGCCTGACTTCGAATTTGGACATCAGCTTTTCCCTTCTTTCAGACTCAAACTGAAACATCAGCTCTTCCTGATTCTTGAGCCTGCTGGGCTTCAGAGTAGAACTATACCGTTGGCTGTCCTGGGTCTCCAGCTTGCTGACTCACCCCGCATATCTTAGCACCTGTCAGCCTCCATCATCACATGAGCCAATTCCTTATAATAAATAAATAAATAAATAAATAAAATCAATTGGCTCTGTTTTTCTTGAGAACCCTGACTAATATAACCACCAATGACCCTTGTCCTTATAAAATGCCCTCCCTTTTGAGTGTGGATAGAAACTATGAGTATGATATCACTCCCATGACTATGTCACATTTATGGCCAAAGGAAAAGTATTCTAGGTAGGCCACATATAATCAGGTGAGCCCTTTGAAAGCAAAGAGTTTTCTCTGTCTGGTTGCAGAAGAGGAAATCAGAGAGACCTGCTTCAGCTGGCCTGGAAGAAAGCCTGTATGAGCCACTTGGCAAGTGACTATGGGTAGCTTCTAGGACCTGAGAGCAGTCCTTAGCTGACAGCTAGCAAAAAAACAAAGACCTCAGTCCTAGAACTTCCGGTTTCTCCCAACAATCTGCATGAGCGTGGAAGAGGACCCCAAGCCTCAGATGAGAAGCGGCCCTGGGTAGCAGCCTGGTTTCAGCCATGTGAGAACATCAGCAGAGAATCCAATTAAATAGCTTAGACCTTCCAAAACTGTGGAATAGTAAATGCATGGGGTGTTTTTGTTTTGTTTTTCAGAAAGAGTCTTATTTCACATAGACAAGGTCATGATTTCTGGATATTCTTCCTCATGCTGCAGAATACAGACTTGTCCTATTTAGTTGATAACTCAAGTTAAAAGGACCCAGGACATTTTCAAAAGACACCACTAATAAGCACACCCCTTCCTCCACTCTTAGGGTTTTTTTGTTTGTTTATTTGTTTTGTTTTTAAAGAAGAACGGCCGGGCATGATAGCTCACGCTCAGCATTTTGGGAGGCTGACGTGGGTGGATCGCCTGAGGTCAGGAGTTCAAGACTAGCCTGGCCAACATAGTGAAACCCCATCTGTACTAAAAATACAAAAAATTGGCTGGGCGTGGTGGTGGGTGCCTGTAATCCCAGCTACTCGGGAGGCTGAGTCAGGAGAATCGCTTGAACCCAGGAGGCGAAGGGTGCAGTGAGCCAAGATTGCGCCATTGCACTCCAGCCTGGGCAACAAGAGCGAAACTCCATCTCAAAAAAAGAAAAAGGCGCGTATTACTCCATTTTTTGGAATGGTATAAATTGAAGAGAAAGAATAGAATTGCCTAAATAAATTTAAAAAAGTAAATAAGGTTATAATTCTACCTCATGGTATAATTCTACCTCATTAGTGGAGTGCTGCACACACTAACCCAGAATAATACTGGGCAATTAGATTACATGTTTTATTAATTGAGGTGAAATTCACATAACATAAAATTAACCACTTTAAAGTGAACAATTCAGTGGGATTTAGGACAATTCAGTGGCATTTGTGCAAATGGTGACTTCCATACAGTTCTAAAACATTTTCATCACCCTAAACAGGCACCTTATACCCATAAAGCAACTCCTCCTCATTCCTCACCTCCAACCCAGCCCTTGGCAACCATCGGCTTTCCGTATCATTTTACCTATTCTGGGCATCTCATATAAAAGGAATCAGACAATATATGACTTTTTGTCTGTCTTCTTTCACTTCGTATAATGTTTTCAAGGTTTAGTACAATTGTTTTCAAGGCTTATCTATGTTGTAAGATGTTATCAGTACTTTGTCTCACTTTTCGGCTGAGTAATGCTCCATGCATATTCCACCGTTTATCCATTCATCTGAGGATGGGCATTTGGGTTGCTTCTGCCTTTCAGCTATTGTAAATGCTACTACCATAACCATGCCTGCACATGTGCTTATTGGAAATTTTACTTCTTTTGAGTGTATACTTGCAAGTGGAATTTCTGGGTTTTTTGATAATTCTGTTGAACTTTTGAGAAACAATGACTTTTTTCATAGATGTTCTTTTAAGCTGCTAAGTTTGTGGGAATTTGCTACACAAAGTTACAAGATAAATTCAACTTTTTTACCTAATTATTTTTAAATTTACCTTCATACCTCTAAATAACATGCTCTGAGGAAAATAATTGCTACTTCTTGATTTGCCAGAAAAATAGTGACAACTGTCCCTATGGCAAATAAGAGCTTACCCCTCTCATATTCCTACCACCATCATGCCAAGTATAGCCTTCCCATCTCCCATCCTCCCAGTACTGTTAAGTCATAACATTGGTTACTTTACTATCAGGTGCTTACCTTATTAAGCTTTGTAAATTCACAGTTGATCCATGTAGTAAAATCATGTTTACTTTTCCTTTCCTCAGTAACATTTTGCTTTCCCTTCCCTGGAGTTAATGATTCAAAGTCTAGCCTTTATATTGGCTTAGTTTTCTATACACCCACTACTATTTCAATCCCAAACATTCACTAATTTTTTAAATAGCCTCTCAAGACTTTTAGACACACCAGGTATTCTATCAGATTTGACATCCTGAGGAAGTTTTGCTTGGAGTCTTCTGATCTGTTGTGCCCTGGACTGATTGGTTTTTATACCAAATTCCCAGCTGATGTTCTGGGGCCTCCCTTCAGCATCGCCCTGGAATCTGTCTCCTAAGCTGGATCTATTGTTTCATGTAGCAAATATATTTTCTTCTTACCTGGCTTATTCCTTTAATGTTGCAGGATATCCTCCAGTTGTCAGCTGTCATCCTGGGTCTCCCTTCAGCATCACCCTGGAACTTGTATCCTAAGTTGGTTCTATTGTTTCATGTAGCAAACATATTTTCTTCTTACCTAGCTTACTCCTTCTTTGTTGCAGGATATCCTCCAACAGCTTCTCAAGAAAGGGCCCTTAAAGGCAGATCTTTTGAGACCTTGCATGTCTAAAATGCATTTTATCTTCACACTTGGCTTATAGTTTGGCTGGGTATAGAATCCTACAATGGAAATGATTTTCCCTTGGAATTTTCTGCACTCTAGTGTTATTGTTGGGAAAACCAAAGTCACCTCAAATCCCAATCGTTTGTACCTGATCTGTTGTTTTCCTCTGGAAGCCCATAGGATCTTCTCTGTGTCTCCAGTAGGCTGTAATTTCACAGGGCTTGGTAAGTGCCCATTTTCATCCATCACCCATTATGCTTGACATTCAGTGACTCCTTTCAATTTGAAAAGTCATGTCCTTTGTTTCTGAAAATTTGTCTTAAAATATTTTATTGATAATTTCCTCCCTTTTGGCTGACACACTACCCCTCCCCCCACCCTGCCCACCCCATCCCTCCCTTGCTGGCTCTTATTCTATCTCTGTCTCTCATTTTTTCTAAAACTCCTGTTGCTCTAATATCTGACCTTGTGGATTGGCCTTCTGATTGTCTTTTTCTCTCTTGGACATCCTTGGTTTTCTTTTTAAACAACTTGCTGAGCCATAGCTTCAACTTTATTCTCTTATCTGTATACTTTGAGATTTTTTTTGTTTCCACTATCATATTTGTAAATTTCTAGAGCTTTTTATGGTTTGGATGTTTCTTTTTTGTATCATATCCCGCTCTTGTTTTATGGTTGCAATATTTTTTCACAGCTCTGAAAACATCAAGAATAGTTTATTTTCCTGAATGTTCTTCTCCTCAAATAGGCTGATCCCTCTGAGCTTCTTATTTTAGTATGTTTATTTTTTTTCCTTTCTCTTTCATGTTAGAAATTTTCTTTAGATGTCTGGCAAATCTTTTCTGCTGATATTTAAAAGTAGGGGCTAAAAAAACTGATTGGGACTGGGTGTGGTGGCTCACGCCTATAATTCCAATGCCTTGGGAAGCTGAGGCAGGATTGCTTGAGGCTAAATTTAAGACCAGCCTGGCAACATAGTGGGACCCCCATCTTTACAAAAAATTTTAAAATTAGCCGGGTGTGGTGGTGCATGTCTGTGGTCCCAGCTCTTCAGGAGGCTGAGGTGGGAGGATCACTTGAGCCCAGGAAGGTCGAGGTGAGAGTGAGCTGAGATGGCGCCACTGCACTCCAGCCTGGGCAACAGAGTGAGACCCTTTCTCAAACATCAACAAGCAAACAAATAAAAAACTGGAAGTTCTGAGTGTGTGCTTGAGGGTGTCCTTGTAGGGTGACTACACAGGGCTGTGGAGCTGAGGAAACTCTCATGTCAGTATCTTTAAGTCTTTCCTTTGGAGCTGACGGAATCGTGAGCACTGTTTCCTCCTGGCTGCGGCATCATGGTGGAGCACGTGGGCAGGTGGAGGTGGGTGGGCCAGCGTCTCAGCATCCAGTAGACAAATGTCCCTTGAATACCCCATTTTCAGCATAGACCCTAGACCTCAGCTGAGCTTGTTGTGCTTCAGCCCAGAGACCCTCTCTTTTACTCTCACTGAAGAACAAAGCCACAGACTTTTGTTGGGCCAGGGAAGGGGCAGTGATTCAGCTCACAGAATGTGGAGGGGACCTGGGACCCACTACTTCATAAATAAGCTCTCAGCCAATTCTTATTTTCTTACACAAACCCCTCCATCCCAAGCTCCATCTACAGAGGTATCTGTCAAATTCCAGAGCTTTTCAGCTTGCTGCAAAGGAAGATTGGGTTGGTTTTCACCACTGCCTGGATTTCTCGTTGCCAGGTGAGAATTAGCTTTTTTTTTTTTTTTTTTTTTTTTTCAGATCTGCTCATTATTTGCCTGTCTTCCCCCTGCTTTTGAGCTTTCAAGGTTTTGCTGTTGTTAACTTCTCTCTGATTCTTCCGAAGTCCTTCTTGCCGTACTGGTGAGGCTTCAGGAACTGACTGCAGGTGTTCACGCCAATATCTATGCCGGGAAGCCCTTTTACTCCTCTGTTCTGCAAAGCTCTCAGTAAGGCATTTTTGTGTTTTAGGGGGCGGCATTCATGTCTGGCTTTCTGTAGTGACTGGCCTGAGGATGAGCCAGGCTGTACTGGCCAGGACACAGTCAGAGCTGGAAGATTATCACTCCTAACCATTTCATCTTTTCCTTCCTTGTTCATCTCCCTTGAGAGTTTGAAACATTCTTTAAACACAGGAAAGACTGGGGATTTGATTGTAAGCATACTTTTTTCAACTGATTTCCTTAAAAAACACTTAGAATTTACAAGAAGAACATCATTCTCCCAACAGAATTAAATTACTTTCATTCTTTTTCCCGGGAAAGTTTTGCTGGAAATGTCCTCTCCTAGCTCTGAGCTAACACAACTCTCTGTTAATGTATTTCTTAGGAATCATCCACTTCAATGGGCTGCCACTTTTGTGTATTTGTTTTTCTTTCTTATAGATAATGAGTTCCTTTAAGGCTAGAAACTGTGTCTTATTCATTTTTAATCCTTCCCTCTTCCCCACCATTATCATCTGAAATAAATGAATGAATGAAAAGATTCTGAGCAAGGTAATGCCTGGTAGCAGGATCAGGTCTAACTCCTCACTCTTCCACAATGCCTCACCCACATAGACACTAACATAGGCTTGGTGGTTGGCCAAATGAAGTGCAGAATCTTGAACAAAGTGATAACTGGAGCAGCAAAGCCAGAGCATGGCAACCTCCTTGTATTTCTGCCATGTCCATCCCTGCCCATTGTAGCGCTAGCACCATGGTTAAGACTATAGATACTAAACTCAGACTCTCTGGGTTCAATTTTTGACTCCATTCATTATCAACTTTGTGAACTTGAGAAGTATGCATATTCTTTCTGAGCCTCAGTTTTCCCTTCAGAAAAGTGGGAACAACACTGGTGCTTAGTAGTAGGTAAAATGCAAATTAGAGCAGCTCCTGACACGCAGAAAGTGCACAGTAAATGGTAGCACTGCAGTTCTCCAATGGGTAATGAAAAGATGACTTTATTTTTATCACTGATCTAATCTTTATGAGCCCTGGTCCTGCTGGGTTCCAGAAAAAAACACGTTTTTAAACTTGGGTTAATCATACCTTAGACTCTTCCAGTCCAAGCGGTCTTGTAATTATAATCCAGCCCCTGCCGCGTAAGTGCTTAATCTCTCAGACTCCTCCTCCTTCTGTTCTCCTCCAGGATTGCATCTAGGGAGCCTGGAATGGGGGCTTCTGTGAGGGAGGTTGGGACCCACATGTTCTCTGTTTACAGACTTGTCTGCTTTCGCCTGGTCCTTTATTGGTGACAGTTGATGTGTGTCTGATCACAACTGGCCTTCTGGATGTGGTGCTGGCTCCCAGCACTGGAGGCTGTGGTCCCTGCCCTGTGCCTCCAGCTGAGAAGTCCTCACTTTCCATGGCTTCTGTCCCAACTCCAGGCTACTGCTGGTCAACAAGTCCTTTCAGCGTCTTCATTCCCCTCCCTTGACCATATGGGAACTTCTGGATCCCTGCCTGCCGTGGACAGGAGGCTTGTTTCAGGCCTACCTCTCAAGCTCCTCTGTCTGCAAAAATGCATTTATAAAAGGATAAAGGAGGACCCGCAGAATCATCAGGAGCACTCAGCTTCCAGGAATAAGATCCAGAACCTCAGAACCGGCTTGACGAGGAAATAGAAGCTGCTACCAACGCTCCTGCCCCTGTTCTGCCAATGCTCCTCTGGGGCAGGAACTCATCCTGCAGCTACTAGTAAACCATGATCCCCATGGAAGCTGGTCTCTGCCACCATTCATGCCAACAGACCTGCCTCCTGCAGGTAATCCATGCCATCCAATTGCACACTTCTGAGCTGGAGTCTTGCTTGCCTGGGTTTGATCTGATGAGTGCATGTGGCAGGCCTGCATCCTACCTACCAGGGAGGCTGGGCTTTGAGTTTTCTGTGTTCTGGCTTTGGATGGTGTGACTATTGAGGCTGGAAATTTGCAAAATACAGCAAAGGCATTCAAAAGGGTCTGCAAGCCGTGTGCAGTGGCATACGCCTGTAGTCCCAGCTACTCAGGAGGCTGACACGGAAGGATCTTTTGAGCCCAGGAGTTTGAGTCCAGCCTGGGAAACATAGCATAGACCTTGTTTCTTAAAAAAAAAAAAAATTAATAACAATAAAAAGAACTGGACAGCTAGAAAACATGATGCTACATGAAGCAAAAACCCTTTTTTCATTTTATTATGAAAATTTTCAAACATAGAGCAAAGTTAAAAGAATTTAATAGTGAACACCATATGCCCCTCACCTAGGATTCTACCATTAACATTTTACTATGCTTATTTTATCACTCTTCCATCCATCCTTTCGTCCATCCACACATCCATCCAACCAGAAATTTTTGGTGCATTTCAAAGTCAATTGCAGACATTGGTACACTTCCTTCTGAATACTTCAGCATGCCTATGGTTAACTAGAGTTTGAAATTTGTTTACAGTTTTTTTCTTGGTGTTAAATTCACATATAATGAGATGTACAAATCTAAAGTGTACATTTGCTGCATTTTAATAAATGCCTATGTAATCAATATTCCAATCAAAATATAGAAAAAATGATCACTCCAGAAACTCCCCTCATGCCCCTTTCCAATCTCTGTCTCTAACCACCCCCAAAGGCAACCACTGTTCTGATGTTTTTCCTACCATAGGTTGGTTGGCAAAAGCCCTCTAATTTTGGCTTTTTCCTGAAACTATGGAAATTTGCCCCAGAAAGCTGAAATCAGATAGAAAATCTGCCTGCTTCTCCTTCCTTGGTCTCACTTCTCTTCCCCATACTCAACACAGGTGGGCTCCCCTCAGTGCCCTGGTAGAAAGGATTTCCCTGAAATGGTGTATCCAGGCCAGGTACAGTGGTTCATGCCTGTAATCCCAACAAATGGGGAGACCAAGGCAGGAGGACCACTTGAGGCCAAGAGTTTGAGACAAGCCTGGGCAACACAGTGCGAGACCCTGCCTCCACAAAACATAAAATAAAGTAAAAATTAGCCAGACATAGTGGCACATGCCTGTACTCCCAGCTACTCAGAAGGCTGGGGTGGGAGAATCACTTGAGCCCAGGAGATCCAGGCTACAATGAGCTATGATTCATTAAGCCTGGATCCTGATAGTTAATGGAAACTTAAAGAGTTTACTAAACGCTTTCTTGGCAAAGCCTAGCTTTAAAAACAACATTGTCTTATGAAGGACAAAACAAAACAAAACAGAAACCAAAAAACCTGATAGGGCAGTCAGTGCTAGATGATGACCCATTATAATTAGTCTCCTCTGCCCTGTCCCGGAAGCACAGAGACTCTTGGCTTCAGTGGGTGGGGAACCTCAGGTCAACATAATTTACCAGAAATATGACTGAAAATATTTCAAAAACACTATCCTCATCACAGAGTGAGTGAGCCGAACTGAACCAAGGGGAGGATCTAGAATCAGATGACATCGAGAAGTTGATAGCAAAAGTGTTAGAACCGCTGACATCTCAATAGGTTCCACAGTGATTCTCCCTTTAATGAGCATGAAGAAGTATTTGCTGAATGAGTTTTGACAGGAATTAATGAATGCAGAATGGAAGAAATGAATGAAGAGGGGATCATAAGTGAGGTGATTCCTGAGCATCCAAAGCAGTGACACAGTGAGATCTGAAGTCTTTGCAGCTTCAGAGCCGCTCGTAGGTGCTAACAATGTGTGATGTATGGAAAGACAGACGAGGCCACAATAGGACACAGGTGACAGGGATGAGGCCACCTCTTACCTCCAGGCTTGCCACACAGCTCTGGCCCACATAAGGTGGGCAAGGACAAGGTCTGCTGATGACAGTACTAGAGCATCTTGCCTTCCAACTGGGTGAGCACCTCCCTGCAAGAGCATGAACGCCAGCTGCCTATCACCTATGTCACCGGCTACAGGCATGGTCCTAAGGATGAGGTGATGTAGAGGTGAGTTAGAGCTTCACAGTCTTTTATTAGTTGCCCGATGACTTTGCCCAAGGGTGAGAGGGAGCAGTATCATCTTCCATTTTATAGCCAGGTAAACAGAGGCCCAGAGAGGGGAAGGGACACCCTGCTGCCCGACCAGTCCAGGTCTAGCTGTGATAGGTTGTTCTAACTCATTGTCTTGTGAGGATGAATTCCCAAAACAACACAGGTGACTCCCAGCCAGAGTGCACAGGGGATCCTGTGTCCAGCTGGTTGCTTGGCCCTTGGAACTCACCCATGGGCGGTACCAGGTCTGTGGTTGCTGGACCCACGGGGCTCTGGATATGGGGGTTCCAAGCAGCAGAGAGGCCTGGGGTGCCACCCACAGGGCACAGCTGCTCTGGATTTTTCTGGCCCTCAGCCTCATCTTTACTTGAGTCCACAGCCTCAGGCTCCCTCCCCTGTGATTTGGGTCAGTCTGAAGTTTTCTCTTAAGGGACAGACCTGGAATCCTAGAGGGGAAGTGCACTCTAGGCCAGCAGTTCTCAATCTTTTGGGGCTCAAGACCCCTTTACACTTTTAAAAATTATTGAGATGCCAAAGAGCACTTGCTTATGTGGGTTATATCTATAGTTTTTTTTTTACTGATTTGGAAGCTAACAATGAGAAACTTACAAAAATGTATGCATTAATTCACTTAGAAACTAAAAAACCTATTGCATCTTAACACATACAACATGTATTTATGAAAAATAACTGTACTTTCCAAGAACAAAAATAACATTAGTATGAGTGGCATTGTTTTAGATATAAATTTTTTTTTGCAAATTTCTTTAACTAAATGGCAGGCTTAACAGAGAACAGCTGGATTCTCATAGCTGCTTTTGTATTCAATTTTTTAAACATTATATATCATGAAGCCTCTGGAAAATTCCACTGTACATTCAGGGCTAGGGAGATGCTTTGAGTCCTGAAAAAAATCATGGTGCCCTTCCAATCCATATAATTAAAACAAAAGTAAACTTGAAATTAAGTAAACACAACACAGTTTTTATTTTCCCAAGGTGAGTCCTTTGATTTTTTTTTTTTAATGTTAAAATATTTTTTAAAATTCAGGCCAGGCACGGTGGCTCAAGCCTGTTATCCCAGCACTTTGGGCAGATCACTTGAGGCCAGGAGTTTGAGACCAACCTGGCCAACAGAGCGAAACCTCGTCTCTACTAAAAATACAAAAAATTAGCTGGACGTGGTGGTGCACACCTGTAATCCCAGCTACTCAGGAGGCTGAGGCAGGAGAATCAAACTGCTTGAACCCAGGAGGCAGAGGTTGCAGTGAGCCAAGATCACACCACTGCACTCCAGCCTGGGAGAAAACAAGACCCTGCCTCAAAAAAAAAAAAAAAACTGCTTGGTATCCACACTTTACTGGTGTCTTAAGCATGTGAACAACTCATCACAGATCAAAGGGGAGGGGCCCTGCCCAGGCATCTGTGCTTGGCTCCCTGGAGAAAGCCTCTCTTCCATCCTCACTCCCCATCAAGAGACCCTTATTTCTCTGAACTCCTCCCCAAAGGACAGGGTGCTTTAGCACGACCTCCTCTTCACTGGATTTAGGGCATGGTGCTGGGGAGCAGATGGGAGGACAGAGAGACCTGAATCCCTCAAGACATCCTCATCAAGGAGGCTGTGGTGGGAAGGAAACAAGCCACTGCAGTGTGAGGCTCGTGGACGGACAGACAGAGGGACAGATGATGGACATGCCCAGGAGCTCCAAGCAGTCAAGACCCCTGGAGACTATGGCAATCAGGCTTCCTGGAAGGACGTGGAGCTGGAATTCAGTTTTTAGGACGGGAAAAAGGGGCAAAATGAATGAGAAATTTTTATTCTTTCCCCTGACTTTAAAGATAATACAGATTTGTATAGAAAAGTAAAGCAATACAGAAAATAAAAAGAAGAAAGTAAAAATAATTACAACTAATATTTGTTGGGTGTGTGCCAGGCAGTGTTCTAAGTGCTTTACATATATTCACATTTAATTTTTACAACAACCCTTTGAGGTAGGCACTACTTTTATCCCCACATTACACATAAGAAAACTGAGGCCTAGAAAGGTTAACTTATTTGCCAATAGAGAACTAAGTGATGAAGCTGAAATTTGACCAAGGCAGTTTGACTCCAGAGCCAAGATCTGAGGCAACCATCTAAACACAGGTAACCCATCTAAACATTCATACATTGAGCATCTACTACATGCCAGGAACCTACTAAACTTTAGATTCATGACTCTGACTGTTGGCTGTGGTCTCCTACTTGAGCACATAGGATAGAAGAACATGATTTCTGGAAGTAGCTTGTTCAGCATCTTCATGCCATGGTGGACTTGGGGGTATTCTGGGGGGGTGCTGCTGAGCCTGTGTGAGGCCAAGTATTCATGAAGAGCAACAAAGAGACTTGGGATAAATTAAGATGGTACTGCTGGCCAAGCGTGGTGGCTCCTGCCTGTAATCCTAGCACTTTGGGAGGCCAAGGTGGTCAGATCACTTTAGGTCAGGAGTTCGAGACCAGCCTGGCCAACATGGTGAAACCCCATCTCTACTAAAAATACAAAAACTAGCTGGGCATGGTGGCACGTGCCTGTAATCCCAGCTACCCGGGAGGCTGAGGCAGGAGAATCGTTTGAACCGGGGAGACAGAGGTTGCAGTGAGTCGAGATCGCACCACCGCACTCCAGCCTGGGGAACAAGAGTGAAACACCATCTCAAAAAAAAAAAAAAATGTATTGCAAAAGGCATTGGAGGCCACCATAAAGAGTTTGAACTTAGGACCTTGTTGGGAGTGAGAAGCCACAGGGCCTTTGGAATGAGGAGTGCCACAGAATAAAAATGGTGGTTTGAGGATACGTATGTATCTAGAGGGAAATTTGGCAAAATATATCATAATTTTGCTTGTTTATTTGTTTTTAGAGACAGAGTCTTGCTACGTTGCCCAGGCTGGACCCAAACTGGGCTCGCTGTATCTTTCCACCTCAGCCTCCCAAGTAGCTGGGACTACAGGTGCACACCACCATGCCTGGCTTGTTATTTTAAATAATAATAATAATAATGTTTTTGAAAGGTAGTATATACCCACAGTCAAACATTTCTAAGAGTTCAAAAATTAGGTTTCTCCCTGACTTCTCGTTTCTACCACCTCCTTTTATTTTCCACCTTACTTTTTGTTTTTAATTAGGCAATGTATCTAGGAGACTGTTTCATATCCACGTGCATCAGTCTGCCTCCACTTTTTAAATAGCTACATAGTATTTTATTACATGGATAGATCATAATTTATCCCATTAATGAAGACAGGAGAGTTTTCACTCTTTCTGTTATAATTAATGTTGCAATAAATATCCTCGTACTTAAATCTTTCCACACTTTTGGATCCATCTGTCGGACAAATTCCTGCACATGGAATTGCTGTCTTGAAGAATGGCTCCTCTCAACAATTTCACTTGGCAGAAATTGTCCCATCATAGAAGCACACAAAAATACATGCAAACAATTAAATTTCTTTATAAGGGCAAAAAAGTGGAAATGACCTAAATTCTTATAAATTTAAGAAGGGTTAGTAAAATTATGTAAATTCACACAAGAGATGACATTAATAATGACAGTGCATAGCTATATTCTATGATTTGAAAAGCTGTCATCTCAGCACTTTGGGAGGCCAAGGCGGGTGGATCACGAGGTCAGGAGATTGAGACCATCCTGGCCATGGTGAAACTCCATCTCTACTAAAAGTAAATTAAAAAAAAAAATTAGCTGAGCATGGTGGCGGGTGCCTGTAGTCCCAGCTACTTGGGAGGCTGAAGCAGAAGCAAGGTGAGAACCCGGGAGGTGGAGCTTGCAGTGAGCTGAGATCGAGCCACTGCACTCCAGCCTGGGCAACAGAACAAGACTCCGTCTCAAAAAAAGAAAAGAAAAGAGAGCACCATGTTTGGTCAAGCAAAAAGGACGGGTTACAAAACAGCTTCTGTGTATGATGCGATTCATGTAAATTTGTTGCCATGTGTATACAGCCGTATGCATGTATACTTTCTTCACTCCCTGTATTGCTTGAATTTTGTACCTGAGTATGTATTATCTCTATAGCCAGAAGAACAATTAAATTGCTTTTAAAGCATCTGATTATTCCCCAGGCACAGATTTTAATTTGTGAAGCACCCACTTTATGCCTGGCATTGGGGTACCCTGAGCCGCCCAAGGCTTTGGCTCCCGTCTGTCATCTCTAGCCTGATCATCAGAATCAGAGAATGTTGGAACTGGTAACACTTAGTTCACACCCGTATTTTACAGATGAAGGCAATAAGGCCCAGAGAAGGTAAGTGACCTGCTGAAGGTCACACAGCCAGTTTGGCCCAGAGATAACAGAACCCAGGACTCTACTGCCAGGCTATGATGCTCACTTCTAAACTGAGTATGGGCCGGGTGCAGTGGCTCTCACTTGTAATCTCGCACTTTGGGAGGCTGAGGTGGGCAGATCACCTGAGGTCAGGAGTTTGAGACCAGCCTGGCCAACATGGCGAAACTGTCTCTACTTAAAATACACAAAAAATTAGCCGGGCATGGTGGCACACGCCTGTAGTCCCAGCTACTCAGGAGGCTGAGGCAGGAGAATTGCTTGAACCCGGGAAGTAGAGGTTGCACCGAGCTGAGATCGTGCCGCTGCACTTCACCCTAGGTGACAGAGCGAGACCCTGTCTCAAAAAAAAAAAACGAGGAGTATGAATTATTATTTGGGGTCTCGAGCAGTGGGGCAGGCAGTGATTTTGATGCCCTGTCTTCTGGGAGCTCCCGTCCAAGCAAGCCCAGGATGAAAGATAAAAGGGCCCTGAATAAGACCATCATTAGTGGGGAGGAGCCTGACCCTGCATAGGCAGAAAAGCAGCTTCAGCAGGGCCCAGGGTCTACAGGGCAGCAGCCTGCAGGGTGTTGAGGAAGGAGCTGCCCTGGGCTGCTGCCAGATGTCAGTAATTATAAGGCTATGTGGGTCTGCAGACAGCTCATTAAAGACGCTTGATCTGCGTGAAACCAGGAAGCAGAACTCAGCCTCTTTGCCACTTTCTGTAAGAAATCCAACCACATCAAACACTTTGGGGTTTTTATGCAGTTTCCTGAATGTTGGGGTGATCCCAGGGAGCGGCCTCATCCTACTGTGCTCAGCACACGGTTGTCTCCTTACCCTTCCTTGTCTCTTTCCCTCGATTCTACCCCCTCCCACTTCCCCTTCCTCACTGGCCCAGGCCACATCCAGCCTTCGATAGCCCCAAGTCATCCATCAAAGCATTTCTCCGGCAAAAAGAAACCTACCCCACCGGCTTCCATGAAAATAAAATCCCCTCTATTTCATTAACAAAAGACCTCAGATGCCTTGAATTCCAGCACCTTCAAGCCCAGAATCTTAGACTTTGAGCTGGAATGGCCCTGAAGAATAATTGAGTCCAATCCCTTTAGTTTGTAGGTAGAAACACCAGGGTTCCAGGAGGGGAGAGGTCTTGTCCAAGGTCACGGGACACCCATGGCCACCAGGCCTCTAAGCTCCTGGCTGGAGGCCACTCACAAAGTCAGGGCAGATGGGCCTAGCTTCTGAGTCAGAACCAGCTCTCCCCTTTTTCTTATCTACCTCCTCTCAAGAGTCTAGTGTCCACCAAGGAAGTCTAGTGGCCCTGAAGGAGGATCATGGACCTCTGCCTCTTTAGATGCCTGCAGAACAGAGTGGAGCTGTGGGCCCAGGAGTCTTCTGCTCTCACCCAGGAGGGGAGAGGGAGCCACAGACTGACCCGGCACTGCAGCGTGCAACCATGTACTTCGGGGTCCTGGCGCTGAGCCTGTTTTTTCTCATTTGAGGGTTGTTGTGAGGGCTAAGAATGGCCAACCATAAATCCGAGTTCCCTCAGTCTTCTCTCTTTCCCCGTTCTTTTTCTTGCCAGGCTTGTGACCTTTCTGAGCCTCAGTTTCTCCACAGTCCCATTCGCAACTCCGTGTTTCCAAGGTCTCTTGGCAGGAGCCACTCCCACAGTGAACCCCTCTAGGTGCAATTACAGGATGATTTTGTGTCTCGTGGGTGTCGCTGCTAGGGTGGAGGGCCACGCCTCCTCTTTTGAATTCTGACTTTCCTGCCTAGGAGTGTCCCAAGGTTTTCCTTGTTAAAATTGGTCTGGCTGGCTGCTGTGACGCGCCACACTGTCCTGACGGTGCACACACTGCTGTGTGGAGGAACAGAGGAGTCCAGCTGGCCTTCACATGGCAGGTAAGTGGGCAGAGCCTGGGGCCTTGGGACACCAGGGCTCATGAGGGGGGCTTCAAGAAACACGGGTCTGTGGGATGACGTTTGATCATCGATTGTTAGGATTTTACAGCTGGATAGTCCACCATGAACACATGAACTCTTCGTGTGGATTCATGAGGCCCAGGATGAAAAAGCCAGCTTTAAGCCACCCAGCAAGGCCATGGCCCAGGCTGGCTCAGGCGCTGTCTCCTGGGCTGGGGCCAGGTCTCACCCCTGTGCCTCGGAGGACTGAAGGAGGCAGGCACAGGAAGGCAGGGGCAGAAAAAAGAAAATCTCCTTGCACCCCATGCACATTCCATGGATCCAGAGACGTTTCTGGGCATAGTTGGGAATTGTGGCCTGCGTGGGAAGGAGTGAGAGGCCCCCACCGGCTGCATCCTCGCCTGATTCCCACCCCAAGCACTTGAGGGCAAGAGCAGCTCTGGCTCAAGTGAAAACAGCTATATGACCTTGAGCAAGAAAATTTGCCCTTGGTACCTCTGTTTTCTGATCTGTGTAATGGGGATTATAATGCAAATTATCTCACAGCCTTGCTGTGAGGAGTTGGTGAGACCACGTGTGCTGTTCTCCCACCACACATCTCAAGTGGGGACTTGTAAACAGTAGACTCAGAAAATGTGGGTCGGGCACAGTGGCTCACGCCTCTAATCCCAGCATTTTGGGAGGCTGAAGGGGGTGGAATTCTTGAGCTCAGGAGTTTGAGACCAGCCTGGGCAATGTGGCAAAACCCCGTCTCTACAAAAAAATACAACAATTAGCTAGGCATGGTGGGGAACACCCAAAGTCCCAGCTACTTGGGAGGCTGAGGTGAGAGGATCGCTTGAGCTTAGGAGGTAGAGGCTACAGTGAGCCAAGATGGTGCCACTGCACTGCAGGCTGGGCAACAGAGTGAGACCCTGTCTCAAAAAAAAAAGAAAGTAAGATAATGTGTCCCCCACGACCTCAATATAGTGAGCAGCAAACTCCCTCTGCAAGAACTTGTCTTAGATGCTGGGGCCCGGTAATGAGCAAGTCAGCAGAACCAGGGGTCCTACACTCACAGGTATTCAAGGGGTGTTTCTGAGTCTGTGTCTGCCAGTTTTAATTGTTCAGCATTATGTGACAGTTTTATGAATCAAATATTTTTTTAACTTTCAAAGGCAGATATTTGAATTTCCTCATCATAGTCTAGCTTCCTCTTCATATTTCCTCCTGGCAGTTAACAGCATTGCTGGACGTGTTGGGCCCTTCAGGCTCCTAGGATAGGTCTGTTCTGAAGACCAGGCCTTGCCAACACCAGCTCACAGCCCAGACTGCCTGTTTCCAGAGCTGGGGTTGCCTCCCTGATGGCCCTGGTGCAGAGGGGATTGCCTTTGTTCCTCCAAGATCTGCTTCTCAAAGTTCACCTAGATGATCCCTCTTCCCTGGGCCTTTGATAACCTATCAGACTTAAACTTGACAGTGCGAAGGTTAGTTTCTGAGGAAGGAAAAAAGTTGATGATGATGCCCATTGTCAGGTCTGTAACTAACTTGCTGGGTTCCTCTCTCTGAAGCTCTGTTTCTCCGTCTGTGAAATGTCAGCATTGGAGTTGTCATGCCTATGTAAATGGACTATGTGTTGGATTGGATTCAATTCCTGGGTCTTCTGGGTCCTCTTGGCTTCTTGGGAGGATCTGTTCCTCAGAGCAGTAGGTCCTGCCTACCACACACTCTGTGCCTGAATGACTGAGACATCAGATCCTAGATGGAAAGTGTATTCATCTTCCTGGAGCTCCTTCTATCCCCCCTCCCTCACTCCATCCATGGTGGACATCCCTAGTTGACCCCAGAGCTCTTCCCTCTGGAGCCTGGATGTGGCCCCAGAATGCTCAACCCAGCTCTTTAAGTACCAGTTGATCAGTGTTGGCAAAGGAGGTGAGACCCTTTTGCCATGATTAAATTACAATCATCTTTCAGCTCAGAGATTCCAAGAATTGAGTGGAATACTGTATGTGAGGCTGGCTCTGGCTGGGACATTGGGTTGGAGTTGATGAGTCACTGCCTCCTGGTGAAAGAGAGGCCAGCAGCTTCCAACAAGACCAGGAAGGAAAGAGAGATGGGGCAGTGGCCCCAGAAAGGCCCCAGGCAACTCTCGATAAATCATTTAGTCATGGAGTTCAGGTGCTCATGATGCGTACTAAGCATAGGATTATAATGGGGCCCATTAAAAACCAATTATGCTTAGTCCAGAGTCTGGAAGATGCCACTGGCTTCAACAGAGTTTCCAGGGCTCAAGCCCACTGGCCTGAGACAAAGAATTGGGGAGGATTGTATCATTCAGCTCTCTGGTATCACCCAAGGGCAGGAGGAGGAAGATGGATGAGCTAGGCTTGGGGGTGGGGATGGGTGGAGAGCTAAGTCGGCAGGAGGCAATGTTCTGCACATGGACCCTTCCCTTTCTTAGGTGGAGCTCTGGGGCCAGCTGGTGAGCAAATTAGTTGGGGAGGAGGTCAGAGGGCCAGAAGTGATGGGCAGGGCCTGACTGTCAAGGACCTTCAATGCCAACAAGATGGCTGTAGATTCCATGGTGCTTGAGCAGGGAAAATGACATGCTGACACTCAGAAAAGTCCCTTCTCCTCTCTGAACCTCAGTTTCTCCATAGTGATGGGATGGATTGAACAGGTTGAGCTGAAAAACACTCTGAAGCTGTTGGGGCCATACAGTCGCTTAAGCGAGAAGCAAAGAGGGGAGAATAACAAGAAACCCCGTGCATGTAGGAATTGGGGAGGGGAGGACCAAAGTGATGGGGGAGATGTGGGAAAGGAGTGATGATGTAAAAATCCCTGTTTGTAGGCCGGGCGCGGTGGCTCACTCCTGTCATCATAGCACTTTGCGAGGCCAAGGTGAGCGGATCATGAGGTCAGGAGATCGAGACCATCCTGGCTAACACGGTGAAACCCCATCTCTACTAAAAATACAGAAAATTAGCCGGGCATGGTGGTGGACACCTGTAGTCCCAGCTTCTCGGGAGCCTGAGGCAGGAGAATGGCATGAACCCGGGAGGCGGAGCTTGCAGTGAGCAGAAATTGTGCCACTGCACTCCAGCCTGGGCGACAGAGTGAGACTCCGTCTCAAAAAAAAAAAAAAAAAAAAATCCCTGTTCGTAGAGCTCATCACTGTGGACCCAGCACCAGGCTACGTACCTGATGAATAGGGAGACGTTGATCCTGGTGGAAGCCCATTGCCCTAGCGTGTTTATTAATGGCTTCTCCTTTCACTCTCAGAATTTCCTGCTTTAAGTGGTGCATTTTATCACTACCCTATGTATAATTACTACCCCATTTAATCCTCCTCGAAACCCTAGACGAAAGATATTATTATTGCCACTTTCCAGAGAAGGAAATCGGATCCTCAGATCCAGGGCCACACAGCCAACAAGTAGATGATTCAGGATGTCATGAATTGGCAGAGCACAGGAATGGCAGCTAGGAGGTCTTGTGTAAATAGTAATGATGATACCACTCACATTTCCTGAGAACCTAGTATGTGCCTGGTACCAGTCTAAATACTCTATGTGAATTATTTCACTTAATCCTCCCAACGTGAGGAAGCGGGTATGATCATCACCCTCATTGTCACCAGGAGACTGAGTTTCAGAGCTCACTCACTTGCCACACAGCCAACGAGGGGCAAAGCCTGCATGTGAGCTCAAGTGTGTGCCTCTGAAATCAGGCTTCTAGTTGCTGTGCAGAGTGAAAGGAAGCGCTGAGAAGACGATGAGAGGGAGAAGGGGAGGAGAGCAGACAAGCTGGAGGGGCTATGAGGCTTGGGGTAACAGGCAGGTGGAGGGAGCACTCTTACCACATCCTTTCCCTGTGCCTGGGGGGTACAGCCTCAGCCCTGGGGTTGGCGAGCCTTTAGCCTTGGGCTGGGAGCTCATCCTGCATACCCCAAGGGTGAAGGCCCCCAGAGCTGAAAACAGGCTGCCAGTTCTGTCCTCAGGGCCTTGGGTTCACTGTCAACTGGAGCAGTCTTAGAGCAGATGCTGCCTCTCCCATCCCCTCCATTGGGCAGTGGGTGAGCTACCTCTCAGAGGTACGGCAAGCTGGGACCATGATCACGTATTCACCAAGAATTCGGCCAAGGGAATTTGTGCCTGGGCAGGAAGTTGTGAGGGAGATGGTCTCTGAGATTTGAGGATAATGATGATAATGGCAGTTCTGACTCATCCCACCTCCTCTTGCCCGTCTGTGTTAAGGATGCAGATGCCTCAGAGGGTGATGGGAGCTGCTTTGGGCTGTGGCAGGGAAGAGGGACAACCAGTGCAGGAAAACCATGTCCTAGAGGCTATGTGACAATCTTCACATCAGCACTCTCTCGGCTGGGGAGGGGGGAGGTGTTGAGGTGGGGGTTGTCTTGTAGGGAGGAGGGCTGAGAGGAGTCCTTGGGGGTAATCAGAAGCACTTGCTTCAGCAAACCACAGACTATCCAAACCATCAGATTCCTTCTGGGTCATTTTACAGAGAAGAAAACAGACCCAGAGAGGCAGTGGGTGGGAGTGGGTGGTCAGTGGCCAGTCTGCCTGCCCATGTCAGAGGCCTCACACACCCTCCTCTTTCTCACTCTGTGGAAGGAAAGAAGTTAAGAAGGAAAGGCAGGCTTTGGAATGTGACAGCTTGAGAGAGGGATTATGGGGTGGGTGGGGTGTGGACAGTCGGAGCGTGAGCAGCTGACAGGGTGTGGGTGCTGATCCTCGAGGGCGGGCCCAAGGACGCTGCAGAGCATCAGCTCCCCATTCCGTACCCCAGCCAAGGGATGGGGAAGGAGATTCATTCATTCATCCAACCAACATTCACTGAGCACCTAATATGCCCTGGGCCCTTAACCAGGTTCTAGCAACCCAGGGAGGGGGAGACTCAGCCTTCGCCTTCATGGAGCTCTCAGTCCAGTGAGGGAGAGACGTATGTAAGCAAACAACTATAACACAGCATCCCTGATCACAGATAAGGGACAGAAGCCTCCGTCTTAAAAGAATTTGAGCTGAGCACATGGAAGGGGTGATACTGGGTTTATTTTGACAAGGGGCCTGGAAACCATCCCAAGTGCACATCTATCTCCTCGCCTTGGGCTGCCGTATACCTAGGAGCCTCTCCCCATGCCCGTCAGTCTCACTGTCCCCATGAGGACTAAGAGGGACACTGGCTAGGACAGAACGTATCTGAAATCACCGGTAGTTCCCCCTGCAGAATCCTGGACCCCAGCCCCGGCTATTACACCACATATGGCAGGTCATGGAGGTGTGATGCTGATGGATGTGGATGACTTAGATCACCAAAGCAGCAGCTCCAGGGACAGATTCCACAGGGATCAGAACAGTGACCTCCTGGGTTATGGGGTGAGTGTAGAGTTGGGCAGGGGAGGTGCCGGGGGCTGGCAGATTGGGATTTCTAGGTGGTTTCTGCAAAACCCCATCAAGGAGCAAAAGAAGAAGTGTGTTCTATGGGGTTAATGGGGAGCAAAATAGGGACAAATGGGGAGAAGCTGCAAGAAGAAAGAGCTTGGCTCAGCAGAAGGAAGGGCTTTCTAACATTGGGCGGTGAGTGAGCTACCTCTCAGAGGTATGGCAAGCTGGGACCATGATCAAGTATCCACCAAGAATTCGGCCAAGGGAATTTGTGCCTGGGCAGGAAGTTGTGAGAGAGGTGGTCTCTGAGATTCCAGGACAATGATGATAATGGCAGTTCTGACTCATCCCACCACCTCCTCTTGCCCGTCTGTGATAAGGATGCAGATGCCTCAGAGGGTGCTGGGAGCTGCTTTGGGCTGTGGCAGGGAAGGGGGGAAACCAGTGCAGGATCCATGGAGCTTGAACCCATGACCCAGGGTCCAGCAGCCCTCATCCAATCCCAAACTCCCCTTGTATCCAGCCCTGGGGCATACCAGGGCTGAGATAATTACCATCCAGCAACCTCGTCGTCTGCTTCTGACTCATCCACTGAAAAAATAGCATCCTGTTCTGGCCTGTCCCTACATACATTGCTTGGGAAGTAGCAACATGAATTGTGGGCTACAAATCCAGTGTGTCCTCAGGCAAGAAGTCCCTTTCTTCCCATTTCTGGGTCTCAGCTTATATGTCAGTAAATGGAGACCTGAGCTCCTAATGGCTCTTCCAGCTCTGCTGATATTAGACTTGACAATTCTATGTACAAGGTACCTGGTTGCGGGAGAGGGTCCTGCTTGTGTTTTCTGACTAAACCAAGGTCATCTGAGCTCAAAGTTTTGGAGTTTCAGAGGTTTGTGCCTGCCCTAGAATGACTGGGGCTAACTTGATGTGAAAGATTTGGTTTTACTTTCTGTTGTGAGAATTGGCAAGGGTAATGGAAAAGCCCCCTGGAACTGTTGTTCCAGCTCGTGCCACATGGGGTCACTGTTGAACACTGGTCCTGCACAGTGCTCACTCACCACAGCAGGGGCTGTAGGAGCTCCCAATCTTGGGACACATGTGTCAGCTATGTGAGTTCCTACCCACATGTTCAGTCATTATCCCCATATCATGATGCCAGCAGGGGCTTCTGGCCTAGGCTAAGCTAAAACTAGTATTTTCCATGAATCTCAAGCCTGATTATTGAGACCACAGCACCAGCCCAGACAGCTCACAGGTGGAGAGCAGTTGGGAGGTTGTTGTGGTCTAGACAAGAATCTTGGCTCTCTCCATGTTTCAGTTTTCAATTCCTGTGTAGCAAACTGCCCCAGCACTTAGGGGCTTCAGACAACAATCATTCTCCTGCTTAGGAACCTGCAATTTGGGCAGAGCTCGGCAGGGACAGCTTGCGTCTGCATCAGCTGGGGCAGATTGCCTGGGGGCTGAAGGACCCACTTGCCAGATGGCTCAGTCCCATGGCTTCCAGATAATTCTGTCTGTCAGCTGGGAGCTCAGTGGGCTGTGGGTTGGAAGCCTTGGTTCGTCTCCAGGTGAGATTCTCCGTGGGCCATTTGGGTTTCTTCATGGCATGGTGGCTGGGTTCTAAGAGCAAGCAACCCAAGGGAACCAGAAAGAAGCTGTATTAACTTTTATAATCTAGCCTTAGAAGTCACAATGTGTCACTCTGTCTTAGCCACAAGTCTTCCAGGTCCAGAGGGTGGGAATATATGCTTTACTTCTGCAATGAGAGGAGTATCAACATCATATTGAAAGAAGAGTATGTGGGATGGGAGATATTATTGCAACCACCTTTGGAAAATCAATCTGCCACATGCTGTTAACTAAAAGATTTTACAAAGATGCTGGAATCTTTAAAAAGCCAAACATTTTGACCAGCCCTGTCCAGACACTTGCCCACACAAGCCACTGATCTGATGCCTGTGGTGAAGCTCACGTTGAATTTTACAGTCTGTAACTTCTAGGCTGTGACTCCTATGGGGTCAAAGATAAAGGCACCATAGCCTGGGGATAGACAAGCCACCAACTCAGGAGGCAGATTCCCAGCTCCATCACTTAGAAGGCTGTGTAACTCTGGGTCATGTGCAGTGGCTTATGCCTGTAATCCCAGCACTTTGTGAAGCTGAGATGGGAGGATTGCTTGAGGCCAGGAGTTGGAGACCAGCCTGGTCAACATAGCAAGACCCTATCTCAAATTAAAAACAAACAAACAAACAAAAAAAAACAGGCTGTGTAACTCTGTACCTCAGTTTTATCATCTGTGACATTGAGTTAACAGCAGTACCTCCCTCATATGGTTTATTAAGATTAAATGAGCTAATATTTATAAAATATTTGGAAAAGCACTTGGTTCATAGGAAGATTTATTAAATAAAACCTATCCAATGGTCTAGCCAACAATTACTGACATTTCCTGTATGCTTGGCATCAAATAAGATACAGCCAAGAGTTGCATGACAAGTGTCCTTTGGTGGGGAGTACCTGGTGATGTAACTTCAGTGGTTCTCAACTGTGGCAGATTATATTTCACAGGGTGGTCATATCAGTATACATCTCAGCTCAATATTCTTTTTACAATGGGACATGACGTTGGTACATTTTCAGCAAGAGATGGGGCATGTTCCTTCTCTTTGAACCTACATAGGCCTTTGTAACTGCCTTGACCCATAGGATAAGGCGGAGGTGACATTGTGTAACTTCTGAGGTTAGGTCATAAAAAGCATTGCATCTTCCACCATGGTCTCTCAGGTCACTTGCTCAGGGGAAACTAAGCACCATGCCAGGAGGACACCCAAGCATTCCCATGGAAAGATCCACATGGAAAGGAACCAAGGTGCCTCAACCTGTATTCAGCACCAGTTTGCCAGCCATGTAAGTTAGTCACCTTTAAAGTGGATCCTCCAGCCTCAGTCAAGCCTTCAGATGAACATGGCCCCAGCTAACATATGATTGCAACCCCATAAGAAACTCCAATTAAGAGCTGGCCAGTGGAGCTCTGCCCAAATTCCTGACCCACAAAAACCATGAAAGATAACATATGATTATCATTTTTCCAAGCTAAACTCTGGGTTAAACAGATTGGTTAAGAAGCAATAGATGAGTAAAACATCAACTTTTTTGTCCGTAATACCCTCCCTCTCAATATAACAAGTATTTAATAGTGTCCCTTCACCAACCTGAAATTGAATTGACACATCTTACCTACCTCTATACTCCACTTTTTAAAAAATTGTATCCTAACTATAATATAAATAGTAAATAAGAGGAAATCAATTTTTCACTAAACATAGTTAAGTATGTAAATGCTTATTGAAACTTTACCAGAAGACATGATGAAGTGATCAGATGCCATCCTGCGACTGTAGTGAATCAAGACAAAAACAAGGCCACTCCATAATCATGAGTGAACACAGACAAAAACATGAACATTGTCTAAGCCACTTACTGGTCTCGATCTACTGACATATTAGCCCTATAGATGGGCTAATATGAATAACGGCTGCTTCTTTACTACTTATGACACTAGCCTCAATTCATTCTTCCCATCTTCTACGTAAGGACTATTAAGATACTCAGACATAGACTTGCCTCATTCCCAGAGAAGCCTCCAATCCCAAGCAAAGCCCTGCTTCTTTGAACTCTCCCCAAACCACCTAACACAAGCCGCAATCCTGTAAGTCCTCTCTAATATTGTCTTCCCGAGATGTTCCGTGATTCTTTGTGGTGAGCATTCTTTCTCATTGCCGTGAGCGATGAGCCCTTCCTGTTCATTGTACTGATGTGTTCCTGGTGGTCTTTGGGTAGAGAGCCTTGACAGAAAAAGAAAATAAATTTCAGTATTCATCATTCATAATACGGGGAAATAGTAATGAAACTTTTGTTTCAGTTTATATCTGTGCATGTATGTATGTTCGCAGGCATATGGAGTATGGAACATTTAAAACTGTTTCTTATGTTAATCACAATAAAACTAGTATAACCACTGACCCAGTGGTCAACAGCTGGAAGCCAGGATGCCCACAGACTCCACTCCAGCCCTTGCTTGTTTGTGTGCCCTTTGGCAAGTTATTTCACTTCTCTTTCCCTCAGTTTCCTCATTCATTCATTAATATATTTAAGAAATATTTGTTGAGCACCTTCCATGTATCAGGCGCTGAAGATTCACTAATGAACAAAACAGACACAGCTCCCTGCCCTTATGCAGTTGATATTCTTGAAAGGGAAGGTAGGCAATTAAAATAAAGAAATAAAATATATTGTAAGATGTCAGTAAGTGCCATGGAGGAAAATAGTGGAGAAGGAGAGTAGGGGTGATTTGCAATTTATAAAGGAGTGGTCAGTGAAGGTCCCACTGAAAAGGTGACATTTGAGCAAAGACTTGAAGAAGGAGGCAAGGGAGCAGGTTCTGCAGGAATCTGAAAGGAGAGTGATCCACATACAGGGAACAGCAGGTGCAAAGGCCCTGAAGAGGGAGCCTGTCTGCAGATTCAAAGAGAAATAAGGAGATCAGTGTGGCTTAAAGGGATGAGAGAGGGGAAGAGAAACTGAAGGCCCAAAAAAGATATCAAAGTGCTCAATCTTGAAGGGCTTGTGGGTCATTGTCGGGACTTCAACTCTGCTGAGAGAGACAGGAACCAATGGAGAGCTTGAGAACAACGAGTGATCTTAGATTTTAACAGGATCCTTCTGGCTTCCATGTTGAGAATGAGCCCTGAGGATATGCGGGGGTGGGGGCACAGGGGAAGTGAAATAGGGAACCCAGTGAGCATGACAGCATCTAGAAAATGAAAGGGGCCATAGTACCTCCCTTAGGTGTATGTTAGGAGGCATAAGCACTTGAATACATACAAAGATTTTATTATTGTTGTTTGTGTTATCCCAAATCTAATAGCTGATTGGACAAAGGAGAGATGAACTCTGGTGGCAGGGCCGAGGCAGGAACATCTCAGAAGACAATCACAGGCACCCCAACCAGGAGGGGCCTTAGGAAAAGCACAAGGCAGGAAAGAGATATGTGCGACGTCGGGGCAGGAGGTTGTGGAGGTAGAGTCTGATGCAGCCAGTGCAAAGAGTAACTGAGCTGTGAGGGGGTGGGGGGTGAGCTGGAGGAGTGGAAAGCAATGGGATCCTGCCTAGTTCCTTGTCCAAGATGAAGGAGCTTGGACAGATCATAAGAGACAATGGGGCATCCAGTGGAGATTTGGGAGCAGATGTTTGACAAGATGAAGCAGCAGTTTCTTGGAACATCCCTTTGCTTACTAAAGCATCTCACCAGATATCTAATCAATCTTCCACATGGCACCAGAATGATCTTTCCAAGGTGCAAATCTGATTACATCACAGCTTTGCTTAAAACAATATTTGGCTGACTACGGCCCTTAGGATAAAAGGCAGACTCTTCATCCCACTCCAAGCATTGGTGGTCTGCCGACTATGGGCCCCTCCAACCTCATTGCCTTCCCCACACATCTGCTTTCTCTCAAATTTTAGAAGTCACCATGCTTCCTCCTGTCTCTCTGCCTAGCGCCATAGCTGCTGGCTAGAATTCAAGGCTGCACACATCCTGGTGTTTTAAGCTGTTGCTTATAGTACTCTGGCAAATAGTTTTGCTAATCTAACTACTTGAGTTTAGGTGTTCTCTGCTCCTGGGACTCCCAATGCCTCTCCCTTAGGGTTCATCTCAAAGCTTGACCCAAAAGGTTTGAGGTCTATCTGCTTAATGCCAGTCTTCTCCACTGGGCTATCAACTGCATGATGTCAGGGCCAGTGCGTATTTGATGGACTGTTGGGTCTGTAGCATCCAGCACAATGCCCAGCACGTGAATGAATGAACCCTGAATAGGGGAAGAGGATGCTTGGGCTGAGACTAGATCCAACACTCAACTCTTTCCTGGAGACACTCATCCAATTTAAGACTCAGCCTCAGTTCCGCCTTCTGGAGGAAGCCTTGCTTGTGCCCCTTCAGACTAGGCCAAGCCCTCTGTTAGTGTTCTTTCAGCTCCCATCCTTCTCCCTGATAGCATGTATCAAAGCAAGAATTAGTTATGTGGACTCACCTACTTAGGTGTCACCCCTGGAACATAATAAGTAACGATGATTGAGCTCTCATGTTACGAGGACTCTAAATGACAGGGGCCATTATCCTCACAATCACGCCACAGGCATTATTCCCATTCTGCAGAGCGGGGAACTGAGAGGCAGAGAGGTCAAGAAGGCGGGCCAGGAACAGTGGTCACGCCTGTAATCCCAGCACTTTGGGAGGCCAAGGCGGACAGATTGCTTGAGCTCAGGAGTTTGGGGCAACATGGCGAAACCTGGTCTCTACCAAAAATACAAAAAATTAGCTGAGTATGGTGGCATGTGCCTGCAGACCCAGCTACTTGGGAGGCTGAAATGAGAGGATCACTTGAGCCTGGGAGGCAGAGATTGCAGTGATCCGAGATTGCGCCACTGCACTCCAGCCTGGGTGACAGAGAGACACTCTGTTTCAGAAAAAGGAAGGTGCTTCAGCCAGTAGATGGCCAGGTTAGAATCTGAATCCATGTCAGCTGCCCCCAGAGGACCTCCTCATAACCATTGAGCCATACAGTCTCACCGCACCATGCATTGAGGGCAAGCCCACATCTATATACTCAGCACCAGACACCAGCCTGGCATAGAGATTATACAGTCCATCCTCAACACTTGTGGATTCTGTATATGCACGTTGCTAATATTTATTTTTAAAGCCAAAATCTATACTCTGCACTTTCTTGGCCATTCACAGACATGCACAGAGTGCGGAAAAATTGTCACCTGACCTGACATGCATATTCCCAGCTGAAGCTGAACAGGCAATATTCTGCCTCTTCATTTCAGCTGTCATACTATAAACAAATAACCTTTCTCTGTTCATTTAAAACTAGGGTTTTTTTTGCATTTTTGTGCTTTTTTTGTTGGTGATTTCTCTGTTTAAAATGGCCGCTGAGCATAGGACTGAAGTGCTGTCTCATGTTCCTAGGAGCAGGAAAGCTGCGACACGCCTTACACTAAAAATATGTGTTAGGTGAACATTCAGGCATGAACTATAGCGCTGCTGGCCACAAGTTCAATATTAATGAATCATCAATATATATTAAATTATGTTTGTTTGTTTTGAGAGGGAGAGTCTCGCTCTGTGGCCCAGGCTAGAGTGCAGTGGTGCAATCTGAGCTCACGGCAACTTCCACCTCCCGGGTTCAAGCGATTCTCCTGCTTGAGTGGCTGGGATTACAGGCACCCGCCACCACGCCTGGCTCATTTTTTGTATTATAGTAGAGATGAGGTTTCACCATGTTGGCCCCAGGGTGGTCTCGAGCTCCTGAGCTTAGGCAATCCGCCCACCTCGGCCTCCCAAAGTGCTAGGATTCCAGGCGCGAGCCACCACGCCCATCCTAATAATGTATCTTTAAACAGAAACGCACATATAATAAGGTTATATACTGATCAACTGATGAATAAGTTGGGACCAGAGGCTCACAGGAACCTAAACCTGTATTTATTTTCCCTAAGGGCAATGGGCCAGTTCTCATTAATTCAACCTTTGCAGTGATTTTACAGAACTTAATGACCAAGAGGCTGGGCAAGGTGCCTCACACCTGTAATCCCAGCACTGTGGGAGGCCAAGGCAGGCAGATCACCTGAGGTCAGGAGTTCGAGACCAGTTTGACCAACATGGCAAAACCCCATCTCTCCAAAAATATACAAAGAAATTACCCAGGTGTGGTGATGTGCACCTGCTAGTTCCAGCTACTCGGGAGGCTGAGGCACAAGAATTGCTTGAACCTGGGAGGCAGAGGTTGCGGTGAATTGAGATCACGCCACTGCACGCCAGCCTGGGTGATAGAGTGAGACCCTGTCTCAAAACAAACAAACAAACAAACAAACAGAGAATCGCCGGTATATGATAAATAGCAGCTGGATGAACAAATGACTGGCCGAGAATGAATGGGAGGACAAGCTCAGAGTGGGTGAGAAACAGGAGGCCGTGGCCTCATCTCCCTGTCCTCTCCCCACCCAGGGATCAGAGTCACCAAGGTGGACTGGCAGCGGTCGAGGAATGGCGCTGCCCACCACACCCAGGAGTACCCCTGCCCTGAGCTGGTGGTTCGCAGGGGCCAGTCGTTCAGCCTCACGCTGGAGCTGAGCAGAGCCCTGGACTGTGAGGAGATCCTCATCTTCACGATGGAGACAGGTAACTGGGCTTGCCAGCACCCTCTTCTCGTCTGCAGCTGGAGGGACCTGTCTTATGACTCAGTAACATAAGACCTTGCAGTCAGCAGCTCAGGCTCTGGGGGAAGCAAGTCACTGTAGGTAGACGGAGCCTTGAACCCTGGAGGCTTCTGGTGGCAGCTTTCTGGGGGTGGTTGGGAGGTGCTGCCAGCAGACAGTGGGATGGATGGGATGACCTCTCTGGAACCCTGTGTGTACCAGACACCCAGGGCTCTGGAAGGGTATGAAAACCCGTCAAGCACTTTGAAGCCCAAGCTTTTCTTTCCTTTCCTGGCCCGACATAGGCAGACTTTGGTTTCAAAGGATGCTGTCACTTTCTCCTTGGCCTGGAAGTGGCTGGGATGTCAGGGCAGCTGAGGTGGACCCTCACTTGGCCACTGGCCTTCTTGCTCTTTGTCAGGTCCTTCTCCCAAAGCCTCCCAGAAGTTCAGGGGGTGAAGGTGGGGCTTCCAGGCCTGTAGCTTTTTTCACTTCTCTAAAGCTGGGTTTCCCAGGGGAAGGGTCTCCTGATTCCCTCTCCTCTCCTCCAGGACCCCGGGCTTCTGAGGCCCTCCACACCAAAGCTGTGTTCCAGACATCGGAGCTGGAGCGGGGTGAGGGCTGGACAGCAGCAAGGGAGGCTCAGATGGAGAAAACTCTGACCGTCAGTCTCGCCAGCCCTCCCAGTGCTGTCATTGGCCGCTACCTGCTGAGCATCAGGCTTTCCTCTCACCGCAAACACAGCAACCGGAGGCTGGGCGAGTTTGTTCTCCTTTTCAACCCATGGTGTGCAGGTAGGAGTGGCCAAGTCCAATGCAGAGGTTTTTCCAAAAGACATCCTTAGAGGAGAGCCTGCCCTTGGAGGGGGCCTGGGAGGTGGGTTAAAGGACAAGAAGCTGAATGCCAAGAGCTGGGCAAGAACTTAGCCTAGGCAGAGGTAGGCAATGGTCAGAGAAACCTGGTAGCAGGTGCTTCAAAGCCTATGCCAGAGGACCCAGTGGGCAAGAGAGGCCCAGGGGTGGGTAAGAGCCAGGACTTGGGAATCAGACTGCCTTGGTTTAGTCCCAGCTGTGCTGAGCTGCTCTCCTCTACCAGTCTCCATTTCCTCATCTGTAATATGGGAAAAATAACAGTGCCTACCTCTTATGACTATGGTGAACACCCATAGGGCTAATACTTGTAATGTATGAGATACATCATAAGGCCTTAGTAAGGGGTGGCCAGGATCAGTATTATTATTAATATTTAAGAAATATGGCCGGGTGCAGTGGCTCACGCCTGTAACCCCAGCACTTTGGGATGCCAAGGCAGGGGGATCACCTGAGGTGGGGAGTTCAAGACCAGCCTGACCAACATGGAGAAATCCCGTCTCTACTAAAAATACAAAATTAGCCAGCTGTGGTGGCACACGCCTGTAATCCCAGCTACTCGGGAGGCTGAGGTAGGAGAATCACTTGAACCCAGGAGGTGGAGGTTGCAGTGAGCCAAGATTGCGCCATTGTACTCCAGCCTGGGCAACAAGAGCAAAACTCTATCTCAAAAAAAAAAAAAAAGAAAAGAAAATAAGAAAAAAAGAAGGAAATATGAGAAATATGAGGCTACTACTGACATCAAGGAGGCCCACCCAAAGCTGTCAGTTCCCATAAAACTCTTTTGGGATTGGTCCCTGCTTGGTTAAAGACTTGCCAGGAGGGATGGAGTTTGGCAGGGAGGCAGCACGGGAGCTCGCAAGCCCCCTCTTGACCTCTCCTGCCCCAGTCAGCCTCCGGGCGCTGCCCTGCTGCTGATCCCTGATGCAGCCCCTTCCCCAGGCCAGCAAGGCCAGAGCCCCAGTCCACACCGGGCCTGATGACTGCTTTTCAGAGGACGATGTGTTTCTGGCCTCAGAGGAGGAGAGACAGGAGTACGTGCTCAGCGACAGCGGCATCATCTTCCGAGGCGTGGAGAAGCACATACGAGCCCAGGGCTGGAACTACGGGCAGGTCTCCAGGGGCACAGGCCAGACAAGGATGTGGGCTGGGGCATGGGGAGGTCGGTGGGACTGGAGTCCCTCTGTCTGCTCACTCTTCTCAGGAGGGACAAGGGGGGCTCACTCCTAGAGAAAACCCACTCATTCATTCATTCATCTACTATTCACTGGGCCAGGGCCTGCACTGGGTCCTGGGGAAGGGGAGGTGCTTTGGACAAGGTTTGGACACAGAACAGGTCAGTATGGTTGTGGAAAAATGAATAGCTCTGATCAGTGGTTTTCAAACACGAGCGTACATCAGAATCCCAGGAGGGATGGCGTGCTGGACCCCACCCCCAGAGCTGCCGACTGAGTAGGTCTTGGGCAGGGCCTGAGAATGTGCGTTTCTAACCAGTTCCCAGGTGATGCTGATGCTGCTGGCCTAAGACCACACTTTAACAGCCACTGGCTTAGATAAGTAGTTCCAATACCAGGTGCAATAGGGGAAGGAAAAAGTCAGAATGATAGGGATGGAAGCAAAGGGAGTCCAGAAGAGGGTGAAAGGAACCTCCACTTCGGCCATTGTGGAGGCTTACGTGATATTGTAGTTGGGTCTCTACAGTGAGGCAGGATCTGCCCAGGCAGAGGGAAGAGCAGGCAGAGCCGCACGGACGTGGGAAGTAGGGAGTCTTGAGTCTGCTAGAGGAATTCTGTCTGCCTGAGCTCCAGGTCCCCGGTGGAAGAAAGACTGGACTTGACTGTCAGGCTGAGGAGTCACGCACTGCCCTGCAGGCCAGGGGTTTAAAGGCTTTGGGATTCGGGTGCTGGGCAGGGAAGTTATAGTGAAGAGTTTAGGGTCCACCTAAGGGGTAGCCACTACTCAGCACCCACTTTTTGTTGCCAGACCTTCCAAATTATCAGAGACCAGAAACCTAAATGTGTATGCAAAAATTCCCCAATTTTTAAATGTTGTTAACTAATTCAAATGTGTTTGAAAACATCATGTAGACCAAATGAGCATATCAGCGAGGTGGATGTGGCTCGAGAGCCTCCGATTTTAGCTCAGACTTTATTGTGGGTAGTCAGGAGCCACAGGAGATTGTTGAGCAGGGGAGAGACATGATTAAGGCTGAGGTTCTGATTCCCCAGGTGACTCTTTGAGGAAGGGTTTCCAAGACTAGGGGGTGCTCTGTGATGCCCCTGGTGGTTGGAGGGGGCAGCAAACTGCCCTGCACAGATGGGGTGACTGACCGGGTGAGGGCTGTGGGAGGGCCTGGAATATGGGTGACTGAACGCAGCCTCTAAGCACAGCCTCTCTGGGGAGCAGTTTGAGGAGGACATCCTGAACATCTGCCTCTCCATCCTGGATCGAAGCCCCGGTCACCAAAACAACCCAGCCACCGACGTGTCCTGCCGCCACAACCCCATCTACGTCACCAGGGTCATCAGTGCCATGGTGAGAAGCCCCTCCATCCCTGCACATGTACTTCCTCAAGGATCCCCCAGCCAACCCCGGGGCCACAACCTGTGATTCTTCCCATCACCCCTTGTTTTAATTCGCTGTTGTTGCAGAACCAACCACCCCAAAACTCAGTGGTGTAAAACAACCCTTTATTATGCTTACTGTTTTTTAGACTAGGAATTTGGGCAGGGCACCATGAGAATGGTTTGGTTCCACTCCAAGATGCTTCTTCTGGGGATATCTTAATGACTGCATATGTCTGGGATGGTTTAACAGGACCTCTGTCTGGGGCTTTGGTTCTGGTGGTTGGCAGTTCCTAGGTTGCCATCCATGTCATGTCTCCTGGAACTGGAATGTCCAGGATGGCTTCCCCACCCTCATGTCAGGTTCTGGGCTGGGGTGGCTGGAGCAGCTGGGACCCACCAGTCATCACTCTTTCTACACAACCTTTCCATGTGGCTAGCTTGGGCTTCCCCACAATATGGCAGTTTCATGCATAGCAATGGCTCCCCACCCCCACCTCCCTGCCCCAAGCAATTCTTCCAAGAAAGAGGAAGTGGAAGCTCCCAGTCTTATAAGGTCTAGGCCTGGAAACTGGCACAACATCAATTCCACCATAGTCAGTGGTCAAATTAGTCACAGGCCAGCCCAGACTCAAGAGGAACCCTCTTCTTGAGTGGGACATAGACCCACCTCTCCGTGGGAGGCATGACAACTTTAACCTATCACAGGCCTCAGGCTATGGTGTTTCCTCCCAAAAGGTGTCTGCAGGGCCCACCACCTCCCTCTACCACATGCAGGTATTAAGGTCAGTGGGTGGGTATCTGAGATTCCAAAATTGCACAAAGCTATATTTCTCCTATTTGATACTCTCAATTCCTCAAGACCTCAGAGAGCAGTTGGAGCACAGAGAATTAACATGAGTGACAATCCCAAACAGCAGAGCATCACAGCCCTGAGGACAGTGAAAGTCCTGAACTCAAGGCTCCCAAGTCCAAGTCCTAGACTCATGGATCACCACTTGGACTAACTTGCTGTGTGATTTGGGCAGGTCCCTGAATGCTTCTGAAGCTCAGTTTTTGCATCTGAAAAAAAAAAAAAAAAAGAATAATGAAACCTACATTGTAAACTTCAACAGGTTAATATAGTGTGCACAAAATTCTTGGCATAGTGGTGTCTGGCACACAATGAGCATTTAATAAATGTTAGCTGTCCCTATAATGATTATGCCAACAGTCCCCCAAAACAGATCATTTAACATAGGAAATGCTCTAAAGTTGTAATGATTTTTACAACACAGTATCCAAATGGAAGATAATTGAAAATGACAAGTGCTACCAGGAAGTAGGTATTTTAAGGCAACAGATGCCCCTAATTTTCAGACAGTTAAAAAGCAAGAGTGACCCCGATGGACCTGGTGGTCCAAAGTTGGACAGGATTTGACCACGATGCGGTTCTTGAGGTAGGAAGCCCTGCCTGGTTGTGGACCCGTGCCCTCCTCTGCCCAGGTGAACAGCAACAACGACCGAGGTGTGGTGCAAGGACAGTGGCAGGGCAAGTACGGCGGCGGCACCAGCCCGCTGCACTGGCGCGGCAGCGTGGCCATTCTGCAGAAGTGGCTCAAGGGCAGGTACAAGCCAGTCAAGTACGGCCAGTGCTGGGTCTTCGCCGGAGTCCTGTGCACAGGTACCCTGGGAGAGAAGGGCCCCAGGGTACCTGTGCCCCCAGCTTCCTCTATCTAAATGTATTTACATATATTTGCATATGCTGCAACCCATCTTCATTGATGGATTCATTGACAGGGAGAACGAAGTCTGGCTGATGAAGAGAGAAGCCAGAGAATTTATTTCCTTCATATCTGATCTTTTATCTTGAAGGAGTCCTAGCTCCCTCTGTCTCTCATTCATTGAGTGCCTTGGGCGAGCCCTGCGGCTCCCTTGGCCTCCAGTCCCCTCAGGAAGATGAGGGCTCTATTAGGTGGCTTCCAAGTTCCTGCCAGCCTCAAAGCCTGTCTACTTACATGAGGTGGCAACAGCATATCCTGAAGTCCTTGAGAGAACGTGCAGGAGATGGTGGCATTTCTGAGAGTGGAGATGGGAGTCTCAGCCCCACAACCTGATGAACTAGACACACAGACAAAGATGGGGTGGCAGAGGGCTTTGGCCACAAATGAGCCAGGGCGCCTGCTGTGGAAGCCAGGCCCCTCTCTCAGGGGCCAGGGTCCCGCCTGCTCCGAGCCTCTCTGCTCTGCAGTCCTCAGGTGCTTGGGGATAGCCACACGGGTCGTGTCCAACTTCAACTCAGCCCACGACACAGACCAGAACCTGAGTGTGGACAAATACGTGGACTCCTTCGGGCGGACCCTGGAGGACCTGACAGAAGACAGCATGTGGTGGGTCCTGCCCCCAGCCTAGGCCCGAGGGCTCTGGAAGCCCAGCAGGTGGAGCAAGGCCTCATCTTCCATAACACCACCAGGGAGCGGCAGGCCCAGAGCCCAGCTCTCCTGAATCTGAGCCGGCTCTGGAGGGAGTGAGAGGCGCCCTGCGGATAGTGGTGCCTCTTCCAAGATGTAAGGTCTGAGGTCAAGAGATGTAGACTCAGAGGTCAGGAGGGGCCTCAAGATTTGATTGCCTTGAACGCCCGGTTCTACTCTGTCTGGGAATCTGTGGCTTCCTGGGGTGGGGTGGGGTGGGAACTCCTTCTGCACAGGTACCTCTGGATCAGGCTCCTGCTTCCGTATCAGCTGCGGTTCTCCGTGTTGTGTGTCTCAGGTGGGAAACAGACTCCTTCCTTAGCTAAAACAAAATTCTTCACATAAAGCTTTAAAAAATTCATTCCAGGCCAGGCACGGTGGCTCACACCTGTAATCCCAGCTACTCAGGAGGCTAAGGCAGGAGAATTGCTTGAACCCAGGAGGCAGAGGTTGCAGCGAGCTGAGATCACACCATTACACTCCACCCTGGTCAACATAGTGAAACCCCATCCCTACTAAAAACACAAAAATTAGCCAAGCATCGTGGCAGGCGCCTGTAGTCCCAGCTACTCTGGAGGCTGAGGCAGGAGAATCGCTTGAACCTGGAAGGCAGAGGTTGCCTCTGTGAGCCAAGATCATGCCACTGCGCTCCAGCCTGGGTGACAGAGTGAGACTTCGTCTCAAAAAAAAAAAAATTCATTCTAACTTACTTAATTTTCTGAAATAGGAAAAACATTCATGTGGTTTAATATTTGAAAGGTACAAAATGGGTTGCAGTGATGTCTCCCTCCCGCCCAGTTCCCCAGCCTCCCCATCCTCCTCCTGGAGGCAACACTATCACTGTCTGCTACATCTCCTGTCAGAGAGATGCTCTGCAGACACGAGCACATACATACCTACAGTGCCTCCCCGCCTTTTCCCTGCTTAAACAGTATTGGCAGCTTTATGTGATACTGTTCTTGCTGGAACATTTAACAATTCCACGTAAATACACAGAGTTTTCCTTATTTTCCATAATGTTTTAAGTAATAACGTAACACCCACCAAGCACCTAGTCTGTGCCAGGTCCAGTTCTAAGTGCTATATATAGATTAACTCATGTATTTCTTCAAACAACCTGTGAATAAGTTAAGATCATTGATTCTATTTCGCAGATGAGGAAACTGAAGCACAGAGAGGTTAAGTAACCCATCCAAGGCCACACAGCTAGTGAGTGGAAGCATAAGGGTATGAACCCAGTCTGCCTCTCAATTGCATGAAAAAGCCATTGTTCATCTAACCATCCCATATGGATGGACATTTCAGTTGCCTCAGTTAAAAACAAGTTTGCCTTTACAAACAAGGCTTCAGTGAATAACCTTGTTCAAATGTCTGTTCACACATGTGCAAGTCTGCCACTCAAAGCCAACTTTCTAAAGATTAGGAGAGATGGCTGGGCGCGGTGGCTCGCACCTGTAATCCCAACACTTTGGGAGGCCGAGGCTGGCAAATCACTTGAGGTCAGGAGTTCGAGACCAGCCTGGCCAACACGGTGAAACCCCATCTCTACTAAAAATAAAAATTAAAAAAAATTAGCCGGGTGTGGTGACACACACCTCCCCAGCTACTGGGGAGGCTGAGGCGTGAGAATCACTTGAACCTGGGAAGCGGAGGTTGCAGTAAGCCAAGATTGTGCCATTGCACTCCAGCCTAGGTGACAGAGCAAGACTCTATCTCAAAATAAATAAATAAATAAAAATTAAAAAATAAAGATTAGGAGAGACAGTGAAGAAAACACAACACAGAGACACAGAGAGCCTTGTATCCTTGTTCCCCAGGGGAGCGTGCCAGGAGCCCTTCCCGAGCTGGCCTCCAGCTCAGACCATCTCTTTGCTCCCCTTGGCCTCTCCTCTTTTTTGGTTCTCTTCATTCCCTTGCCCTGGAAGCACAAAATACTCGCATTCTTCTCTTTTCTTCATGCAGAAAGCACAGACACTTCATTTTGATGTTGGGGACTCTGTCACCACCCAGGTTATCAGGGTCCCACCTTTAATCCCCAAATGCTAATCAACATACTTTCCCCAACAAAAACAGTTGCCTGCCGAAGAGGAGTTCTGAGGCCGGCTGTAAAGATGCCAAGTCAGGCAAACCGGGAATCAGGTTTCTGTCTGCTCCTTTCTTTCTGCAAGACCTTGAGCAGGTGATGTCATGTTTCCTACTCATATTCTCATCTTTAACACGGGGAATTAAAAATAAGGCTGGAATTACCAGAGTCTATGGTGCTCTGCATAATCAGAACCCTACCTACCCCCTCTGCTGGCCATATCCCAGAGATACTTAAATACTTTCTGCTCCTTGAACACACAAGGCCTTTTCTTGTCTCACTTAGGACCTTTGCACATGCTGTTCCTTCTTTCTAGAATATTGTTCCCTTCACTCTTCCTATAGCTTATTCTTTCTCACTGAAGTCTCACCTTCAATGTCATTTACCTAGAGTAGGTCTATAGGGGTTGTTCTCTAGCTTAAGCCCCTCTTTTTCTTCCTAACATTTATTGTCACTTGCATTTGTTTGATTTATCTGCTGACTTAGCTTTGCCTGTCTCCTTTGTTAGAATGTAAGCAGCATGAGAGTAAAGATCTTCTGTCTTAGTTGCAGTACCTTGAACAACAGGTTCTTGATAAATGTACACACACATCTATATACACACATACACATATATATACAAACATATGTGAATGCTGTGTGCTCATTCATGTGGTTGAATGAGTGATTCACAACATGCAGCCACAGTTCTTGTGGAAAGTAGGGAGCCCAGGGCCTGCCTCTCAGTAGGATCTTCCCTTCCTATGCCCTCACTCTAGGCAGCTTCACCCATCCTCTCTCTGTGGCAGGAATTTCCATGTCTGGAATGAGAGCTGGTTTGCCCGGCAGGACCTAGGCCCCTCTTACAATGGCTGGCAGGTTCTGGATGCCACCCCCCAGGAGGAGAGTGAAGGTACGCTCAATTGGGTGGGGTAAGTTCCAGACCCCTGCTTTTCCTTACCCATGCTGCTCATGCCCACCCCTCCTGCCCAGGTGTGTTCCGGTGCGGCCCAGCCTCAGTCACCGCCATCCGCGAGGGTGATGTGCACCTGGCTCACGATGGCCCCTTCGTGTTTGCGGAGGTCAACGCCGACTACATCACCTGGCTGTGGCACGAGGATGAGAGCCGGGAGCGTGTATACTCAAACACGAAGAAGATTGGGAGATGCATCAGCACCAAGGCGGTGGGCAGTGACTCCCGCGTGGACATCACTGACCTCTACAAGTATCCGGAAGGTAAGGGCCACATGGCGGCCTTTATTACCTTCCCCCGGATGGCCCATCAGCTGCAGAGGGCCCACTGCAGGTGGCCTGGAGCCAGGCCTCACCCCATGTATATGACGCTGACAGCAGCTTCCATTCACGTTGTCTCTGTGCTCTGAGCCAAGTGCCTTTATTTAGGCTACATTAATAGCTTCCTCTGTTTGCTAAGCACCTCTTCTACCTTAGAAGATTTCCCATTTGTAATAATAATAGCTACATCTCCTTGAACACTTGCCATATACCAGGCACTGCATTAGGTATGTTCACATACAATAATCACTACTAGTAACAATAATGATGATAGTAGCAGGTATTATTTATTGAACACCTAGGACAAACGCATGGCACAGGCCCAATTCAGACTAATAATAATAGCATCTCCTGTTTAGCATCTGCCAGGGCCTGTGCCGTGATACCAATTTATGGCCATTGGTTCATTGAAGAGCCCCTACTTGTTAGGCTACAAAAACAAAACAGTTGTATTTTTTCTTATAGCTGTTTCCAACTATATACTTTAAAAATCTCCCTTTCCCACTGTGTAACAGGTTCCTTAGCAATGTTATGATCTGATTAACATATTTTCAACCATTTCTGCTTGTTAAATCCATGTCACCAAGTAATTATGACTTCAAGCTCAAACTTGAATTAGACCCTGTCTCCTCCTGTCCCCTGAGCACAAGCTAGAGCAGTGACCCTGGAAGGTTGCTAAAGAGGAGACACAATCTGCTCTGAACACCTCCTCGCCTCCCTTTTCTGCTCTCTAGCATCATATTTTACAGCTCTGGTTGCACTTTTTTTTTTTTCTTTGAGACAGAATCTCACTCTTGTTGCCCAGACTGGAGCGCAATAATGTGATCTCAGCTCACTGCAACCTCCGCCTCCTGGGTTCAAGCAATTCTCCTGCCTCACCCTCCCAAGTAGCTGGGATTACAGGTGCCCGCCACCATGCCCAGCTAATTTTTGTATTTTTAGTAGAGACGGGGTTTCACCATGTTGGCCAGGCTGCCCTTGAACTCCTGACCTCAGGTGATCTACTCACCTCAGCCTCCCAAAGTGCTGGGATTACAGGCATGAGCCACTGCACCTAGCCCCTTGTTGCACATTTGAATTATCCAGGGAGCTGTTTCAGTTATATATCTTAAACAATAATTACTTATTTGGTCAATTCTGTGGGTCAACAATTTGGGCTGTGCTCAGCTGGGATGGTTCATCTTCTCCAGGTGGTGCTGGCTGGGATCTCACATATGTCTGTCACGTGGGACTGCTGAGATGGCTGGGTCTGTGTTCCCACTCGGCCTCTCATGTCCCAACAGGCCAGCCCATGCTTTTCTGAATAGCAGCAACATTCCCAGAAGGTGAGAGATGAAGCTGTGAGGTTTCTAGAGGCCTGGCTCAGAATGTGCACCATGTCACTTCTGCCACATTCTATTGGTCAAAGCAATTCATGAGCCCAATCCAGATTCAAGGGGTGGGAAGTTGTAAGGCATTATGGCCATTTTTAATCTACCACAGCAGGCCAGATTCCACCCCTGACTAATTGAATCATAGTCTCTACGGGATGTGGTTTTGGCACTGGGACTTTTTAAAGCTCCCAGGTGGTCTCTAGTGTGCAACCAATGCTGAGAGCACTGTTAGGCTAAGAGGGAGGCAAAGAGGACAGAAGAGAGCAGATGCCTTTGTCTTAACTGGGTGAGGATTCAGTGCTGGCTAAGTGGGTGGGTGCTGCTGCCCTAGTTTCCTATCTATGCTTGCTGAGGACAGATGGTGGCTCCATCACAACCTGCTGCCATCCAGACTAATTCCTGTGCTGTTCCTCTAGACACTGCTGATTTCTTGTGCTATTTGGGTCCTTTCAACACAGCTTCTTTCTGATGCATGGTGATTTTTGTCCCCAAGTTCTGCAGAGGTTTTACAAGGCTGTGGCCCCCAACCCTAACCTCCACTGTGTCCCACTCCAAGGCTGGGAACTGAAACCTGACACTTGTGGGTAGAAGGAGCAGTCTTGACTGGCTGTCTCCCACCTGCTGTCTCCCTTCAATTCTCTTCTCCCTGCTCAGGTAGTACATGGCTTAGTAAGTAAGACGGGATAAACAGACCTCCCACAGGGAGGAGAATACCAACTTCCCTTTCTGTAGGCACCCCCAATCTTGATCAGCCAGTCATTTCTTGCTGAAGATACCCCCAAACCTTAACACTGATTCTTTTAAACACCTACTCACACCCCCAACTCACACTTTAGCTCCTATCTCCAGGAACATGGCACTTTCTTGACTGTCAAAGACATCTTCCACTTTAGCTGTCTTCTTACTGTCTTGGGGATGGGCTATGGATGAGGGGACTATGTGGTAAGGCCTCTTCTGAGCTGCCACCTCTCTGATAAGACCTGCAGATTGATTGCTGGGTCCCTTCAGCTGGGAGCTTCTGGAACTTAGAACGTGGGGTCTAGCCTGGGCAACATGGCAAAACCCCATCTCTATAAAAAATACAAAAGAATTAGCCAGGCATGGTGGCATATGCCTGTAGTCCCAGCTACTCAGGAGGCTCCAGTGGGAGGAATGCTTGATTCTGGAAAGCAGAGGTTGCAGTGAGACAAGATTGTGCCACTGCACTCCAGCCTGGGCAACACAGTGAGACCCTGTCTCAAAAAAAAAAAAAAAGTACATGAGGTCTGTGGGTCTTTTGTCCTAAGATTTAACTATGACCAGCTGGGTGCAGTGGCTCACACCTATAATCCCAGCACTCTGGGAGGCCGAGGCAGGCAGATCACCTGAGGTCAAGAGTTCGAGACCAGCCTGGCCAACATGGCGAAAACCCGTCTCTACTAAAAATACAAAATTAGCCAGGCATGGTGGCCCATGCCTGTAATCCCAGCTACTTGGGAGGCTGAGGCAGGAGAATTGCTTGAACCTGGGAGGCGGAGGTTGCAGTGAGCCAGGATCGCACACTGCACTCCACCCTCAGCAACAAGTGCGAAACTCCTCAAAAAAAAAAAAAAAAAAAAAAAAAAAAAAAAAAACCATGGCCACAGGAGAAATTAACATCCTGTTACATGATAACAGTGATGACAATCACTGTTACTGAGCGCTGGCTGTGGGCTGGCCATTTTCACATGTTATGTAGTCATTTTATTTAACAAATGTTTACAAAGCCCTTACCATGAGCTTTTAAGTGAGACACTAGTACAAAGTTTATTTTACAGAGGAGAAGACAGATGTACAGAGAGGCAAGTTGACCCAGCCAGAGAACATAGCTAGTAAGGGAGAACTCTCCTGCAGAACCCAGAGCCCATGCTCCTCACTCTGCACTGCACTGCCACTATTTAATTATAATATTGTCTACTGTTTATTGACTGCCTACTGTGGGCAACGTGATTTTACATTTAGGTTAACAAAAATAATAGTAACAGTATCTAGAACTTGCTAAGCAAAATGGTAAGCAATGTCCAAGCATTATTTCATTTAATATTTATTTTAAAATCATTTTATGAGCCAGGCATGGTGGCTCACGCCTGCAATCCCAGCACTTTGGGAGGCCAAGGTGGGCAGATCATCTGAGGTCAGGAGTTCAAGACTAGCCTGGCCAACATGGCGAAACCCCATTTCTACTAAAAATACAAAAATTAGCTGGGCGTGGTGGTGGTTGCCTGTAGTCCCAGCTGTTCAGGAGGCTGAAGCAAGATAATTGCTTGCTGTCAGGAGGCGGAGGTTGCAGTGAGCAGAGATTACGTCACTACACTCCAGGCTACAGAGCGAGACTCTGTCTCAAAAAATAAAATAAAATCATTTTATGGATAAGCAAACTGAGGTACAGGGAGGTTAAGTAACTTCCCCAAGTTTCCAAAGCCCAGAAGAGCTGGAATTCTAACGAGGCAGTCTACTCTTAGGGCCTCTGCCCTCCCTGCTATGCTAGACTGCACATCTTCGCTGAGTGGCCTTGGTGTGCCATACAGCATGCTAGGCTTTTTCATGTGCTCTCAAAGTAGAGACCCTCCTGAGTGTCAGGCATGATTCAGAGGCAAGGGGACAAAGAGAAGTCCCCAGAGAACTCACCACATGGTGAGCTGACAGCACAGAATAATTCGGAGTGACTGGCACTCTACTGGGGCATCCAGAGGCTAAAGGAACAAAGAGGAGGAGTCTCTAATTCGACCAGGGCAGAAGGTATCAGGAAAAGCAGCCTATGGGAGGGAATGCTGAAGGGAGTAAGATTTAGCCAGGAGATGAAAGGTTGAGAAGGCATTCCAGGAAGACAGAGTCCAACAGGATTCCAGACTCATGCTGGGCAATATTGCTCAGGCAAGCCAAGACATCCTTGACTTGCATGAGCAGTATTCTATAGATGAAATGACAGGGGCTTGTGCCTCTCTGAGTCATGAGCCCTTGCTCTGTCTGTGGAACCAGGACACATGCTAGAGCTAGAGCACAAAGATTCAGAGCCCCTGGGTACAACATGCTCTTTTATACCTAAAGGACTTGGCACAAGATGCTTTCTTTGCCTGGGAAGGACCTGCTGACTTCACCCCAAACTTTTGCCTGGCCAGGGGTCTCAGCACCCTATTGACTTCCTTCTAAGCACATATCGCAACTTGATATTTGCTTGAATCTTTGTTGTCTCCCTAGAATGCTCCTAGACTGAGAGTTCTAGGATGGCAGGAAGCCTGACTGTTTTGTTCATTGCCGTATCCCCAACTCCTACAGCAGCATCAACTGCATAGTAGGTGCTCAGTACAGATTCACGGAATGAATGAATTGGGGCCAACAGCATATGAAGGGCTTTTAATGCCATAAGGAGTCTGAGCTGTATCAAGAAGGGCCTTGTTTTGTTGATTGCAGGACTGGCTTATGTGAAGCTACAGGACATATAAGCCACATTTTCACATTTTTTTCTATTGGCATGTGTTTATTGAGCATTTACTGAGTGCCAGGCAACCAGTGAACAAAATGCGTATGATCTTTATCTTAAAGGATAAAGGAGCTGACATTCTAGTGGGGCAGGTAAAAGTAAACAAATAAGTAAAATAACTAGTATTTCAGATACTGATAAGTATTTTGGGGAAAAATAAAGAAGGGAAAGAGTTTAGGGACTGGTTGAGAGGAAGCGAACATTTGTCATTTAAAATCAGGTAGACTCTAACAGACGCCTATAGAAGACTCCACATTATAGCAGCAACATATACACATTCTTGGAAAGTAGAAGGGTAGCATTATCCAGAATTGACCATATGCTCAGCCATAAAATAAGCCTCAGTAAACTTAAGAGGATTGAAATCATACAAAGTGTATAATCTTATTCCAATAGAATTAAATTAGAAATCAGTATCAGAAGAGAATTTGATACATTTATAATATGTGAAAATTAAACAATACATACGTCTAAATATCCAGTGAGCCAAAGGAAAGATCACAAGTCAAATTAGAAAATACTCTGCAGTGAAAGAAAATGAAAATGCAATATGCCAAAATTTATAAGATGCAGCTAAAGCAGTACACAGTGGGGAATTTATAGCCGTAAAACCTATATTAAAGAAGAAAGATTTCAAATCAATAGCCTAATCTTCTACCTTAAGAACCTAGAAAAATGGCTGGATGTGGTGGCTCACGCCTATAATCTCAGCATTTTGGGAGGCCGAGGTGTGCAGATCACCTGAGGTCAGGAGTTCGAGACCAGCCTGGCCAACATTGGGAAACCCTGTCTCTACTAAAAATACAAAAATTAATTGGGTGTGGGGGCATGCACCTATAGTTCCAGCTACTCGGGAGGCTGAGGCAAGAGAATCACCTGAACCTGGGAGGCGGAGGTTGCAGTGAGCCGAGATCAGGCCACTGCACTCCAGCCTGGATCACAAAGCGAGACTGTCTCAAAAAAAAAAAAAGAACCTAGAAAAAGAAGAGCAAACTAAACACCTAAAAAAGCAGAAAGAGGAAACAAGAAAGATTAAAGTGGAAATAAATGTTAATGAAATAAAGAGCAGAAAAATCATAAAAGAAAATCAACAAAACCAGTTGATTCTTTGAAAAGACTGACAAAATTGATAAACCTTTAGCTAGACTAAGAGAAGAATCAAATTACTAAAATTAGAGAGGATGTCACTACCAACCCTACAAAAATGAAAAGAACTATAGAGTGTGGTTTTTAAAGAAAAGTATTTGGTTATCATCCCCAGTTTCTGGCACACAGCTCCTAAAACTCTTGGAGTCTTCAGAATGAGAAGAGCATCAGCTATATAGCACATTAGTGAGATGACTAGGGGCATCTAGATCACTTTCAGCATGGGGGCTGGTTGCCTGAAAAATCAAGGCATGATTAGGGATTGGGGACTTTAAACCCCATCTCTGACCTCCAGGGAGGGGAGAGAGGCTGAAGATTGAGTTTATCACCTAAGGCCTATGATTTAATCAGTCATGCCTATGTAATGAAACTCTGTAAAAACTGCTAAACAATGGGGTTTGGAGAGGTTCCAGGTTGGGGAAGACATTGAGGTGCTGAGAGGGTGGCATGCTTAGAGAGGAGATGGAAACCCCACACCACCCCTGCCCCCTGCCATACCTTGCCCTGTGTATCTCTCCCACTTGGCTCTTCCAGAGTTATATCCTTCATAACAAACCAGGAATGGTAAGTAAACTGTTTTTCTGAGTTCTGTGAACCCCTCTAGCAAATTATGAAACCTAAGGCTGGGGCCAGTTATGAGAACCCCAAATCTGTAGCAAAGTTGGACAGAAGTGTGAGTAACCCCGAGTAACCAACACTTGTGACTGGAGTCTGAAGTCTCAGTCTTGTGGGACTGAGCCCTTCAACGTGTGGAGTCTGATGCTAACTCCAGGTAGCTACTGTTAGAATTGAATTGAACTGAATTGAACTGGAGACCCAGTTGGTGTCCAGAGAGTTGGAGAACTGGTTGTTATGAGAAACCCCCACACTTTTAGAGTCAGAATTGCTATAATTAATGACAGTTTATTAGGGGATACTATGAGCAACTGCGTGACAACATATTAGATAACTTTAGATTAAATGGGTAAATTTCTAGAAAGACACTTTCTTACCAAAACTATCTCAAAAAGAAATAGAAAATCTGAATAGATTCACAACAAGTAAAAAACTAGTAATAGTTCATAATGAACTAGTAATATGAAAACTTCCCACAAAGAAATAATCAGGCCCAGATTATGTCACTGGTGAATTCTACCAAATATTAAAAGAACTAATATCAATTATTCATGAATTATTCCAAAAAGTAGAAGATGAGGGAATACTTCTCAACTCATTCTGTGAAGTCAGTATTATCCTGATACCAAAACCAGATGACATCAGAAGAAAAGAAAACTACATATCTATCTCCCTTATGAATGTGAAAGCAAAAATCAACAATGAAAGCAAAAATTCATGAATATGGAATGAATTCAGCTTACTGATAAACTGAATTCAGCAACATATAAAAAAGATTATATGCCATGAGCAAGTGGGATTTATCCCAAGAATACAAGATGGGTTTAACATTGAAAATCAGCTAATATAATACACCGTATCAATAGAAAAAAGGACAAAATAACATGATCATCTCAATAGATGCAGAAAAAGCATTTGACAAAATCTCATACCCCTTTATGATAAAAAAAAACACTCAACAAATTAAGAATAGAAGTAAACTTCCTCAGTCTGATAAGTCACCTATAAAAAAGCTACAGCTAAAATGATACTTAATAGTGAAACGTTGAACATTTACACCCCAAAATCAGGGACAAGACCAAGATGTCCTTTTTTGTCATGTTGATTCGTCATTTTTATGGAAGTACTAGCCAGGGAAATTAAGCAAGAAAAAGAAATAGATATCTTTTTTAAAATTGTATTGGGAAAACTGGATATCTATGTGCAAAAGACTGAAGTTAGACTCTTACATTATATAGAAAAATTAACTGAAAATGGATCAAGGGTCTAAATGTGAGAGCTAAAATTATAAAACTCTTAGAAAAAAACATAGGAGAAAAGTTTCATGATGTTGGATTTGGCACTGATGTCTTGAATATGTTGCCAAAATATTAAAAATAGAATTATCATACAATCCAGCAATTCAGCTTCCAGGTATATGCCCAAAAGAATTGAAAGCAGGACCTCGAAGAGATATTTGTACACCCATGTTCAGAGCAGCATTATTCAAAGTAGCCAAAACATCTATAGCCATACCACCCTGAATACGCCCAATCTCATCAAAATGGCCAAAAGGTGAAAGCAACCCAAGTGTCCATCACTGAATGAATGAATAAACAAAATGTGGTATATACATACAATGGAATATTATTTAGCCTTAAAAAGAAAGAAAATACCAACAAATGCTGGAACACAGAAGAAACTTGAGGACATTATGCTAAGTGAAATAAGCCAGACATAAAAGAACAAATATTCTATGAGGCCGCTTATATCTATGAAGTACCTAGAGTAGCCAAACTCATACAGACAGAAAGTAGAATGGTGGTTGTCAGGGGCTAAGATCTGGGGAGAATGGGCATTATTGTTTAATAGGTATAGAGTTTCAATCAAGATGAAAAGAGCTCTGGGTAGATGGTAGTGATGGTTACACAACAATATGAATGTACTTAATGACACTGAAGTATACACTTAAAAATGGTTAAGATGGTAAATTTTATGTTATGTATTTTATCACAATTTTTAAAATAGAAAGAAGACAAAAGAAGAGAGGGAGGAAGACAGGGAGGGAGAAATGGAAACAGAGAAATTTCCAAATTGGAAAGAAATTTGCACATGACATAATTTTGTATATATAAAATCCTAAGGAATCCATTAAAAAGCTATTAGAAATGATAAACAAGTTCAGCAAGTTTGCAGAACACAAGATCAATATACAAAAATTAATCAGATTTCTAGATACTGGCAATGGATAATCCAAAAATGAAATTAAGAAAATAAATCCATTTACAATAGCATCAAAAAGAATAAAGTACTTAGGAATAAATTCAACAAAAGAAGAGCAAGACTTACATGCTAAAACTACAAAACATTGTTGAAAGAAATTAATGATCTAAATAAATGAAAAGGCATCCCATTTTCATTGATCGAAAGGGTTTATATTGTTAAAATTGCAATACTCTCAAAATTGACCTACAGACTCAACAAAATCCTATCAAAGTTACAGCTGAGTTTTTTTCCCCCAAATTAGCAACCTGATCATAAAATTCATTTGGAAACACAAGGGAACCCCAAATAGCCCAAATAATCTTGAAAAAGAAGTTGGAGGGCTCATACTTCCCAAATTCAAAACTTACTACAGCCAGGCATGGTGGCTTATGTCTGTGATCCCAGCACTTTAGGAGGCCAAGTCAGGAGACTCCCTTCAGTTCAGGAAATCTCCCTTCAGGCCAGCTGGGCAACATGGACGACTTCATCTCTACAAAAACTTTTAAAAATTAGCTGAGTGTGGTGGCATGGCTACCAGCTACTCAGGAGGCTGAGGTGGGAGAATTGCTTGAGCCTGGGAGGTTGAGGTTGCAATGAGCCATGATTGCACCACTGTACTCCACCCTGGGTGACAGAGTGAGATTCTGTCTCAAAAATAAACAGACAAGACAAAAATTACAACAGATATACAGTAACCCAGACAGTGTGATACTGGCATGAGAATGGACATATAGATCAAAGAAACTGAACTGAGAGTTGAAAAATAAACCCTTAAAATTATGATCAATTGATTCTACAAGCGTGTCAAGACAATTCAATGGAGAAAGAATAAGAATAGTCTTTTCAACAAATGGTGTTGGGACCACTGTACATCCCCACATGCAAAAGAATGAAGTTGTTATACCCCACTGGTTACATGAAAAATTTTTAAAAAAGGGAAATAAAAAGAATGAAGTTGGCCTCCTATCTCACACGATACACAAAAATTTCTCAAAATGGTTTATAGACTTACATGTGAGAGCTAAAACTATAAAACTTTTGGAAGAAAACATAGGAGTAAATCTTCATGATCTTCGGTTAGACCAAGCCTTTTCAGAAACGACATCAAAAGCACAAGTAACAAAGGAAAAAATTGGACTTTATCAAAGTTAAGAACTTGTCCTGCAAACAGCACCATCAGGAAAGTGGAAAGATAGCCCATGGAATAGGAGAGAATATTTGCAAATCATGTATTGAATGGATAAAGCACTCTCATCTGAAATATATGTATATGTAACTCTTAAAACTCAACCATAAAAAAAAAATAATTTTTTTTGAGAGCACCTGAAAGTCCAAGGCATGAACCACCATGCTTGGCCCATCCTAGCACCTTGAGAGGCCAAGGCGAGAGGAGTACTTGAGGCTAGGAGTTCAAGACCAGCCTGGGCAACATAGCAAGACTCCATCTCTACAAAATAAAGAAATAAATAAATAATCCAATTTTAAAATGGCAAAGGATGTGAATGAACATTTCCCCAAGGACCATACACAAATGGCCAATAAGCACATAAAAAGATGCTTAACATCATTAAGTCATTAGGAAAATGCATGTCAAAACCACAATGAGATACCACTTCACATCCACTAGAACTACCGTCATCAAAAAGATAGACAATTAGTGTTGGTGAAGATGTGGAGAAATTGAAACACTCATACATTGCTGGTGGAAATTTACAATTGTGCAGCCACTTTGGAAAACACTTTGACAGTTTCTCAAAATGTTAAACATAGTGTTACCATGACCCGGCAACTGCACTCCCAGCTACATTTCCAAGAGAAATGAAAACAAACACCCACACAAAAACTTTACATGAATATTTATAGAAACACTATTTAAAATAGATAAAAAGTAGAAACAGCTCAAATACCCATCAATAGATAAATAAAATGTATATCCATCCAATGGAATGCTAGTCAGAAATAAAAAGGAACGCAGTACTGATACATGCTACCTACAGTGTGAACGAACCTTGAAAACTGATGTTAAGCGGAAAAATTTCACAAAAGACCACGTGTTGTATGATTCCCTTTATATGAAATGTCCAGGATAGGCAAATTATGAATTATATTAGTGGTTGCCTAGGGCTGGGGTTGGGGTGGGGAGGAATGGGAAGTGACTCCTGATGGTTACAGAATTTGGGGGGGGGGGTGAAAAAACGTTCTAAAATTAGATTGTGGTGACGGGGTGCACAATTCTGTGAACTACTAAGAAACATTGAATTGCACTCTTAAAATGGGTGAATTGTGTGTTATGGAATTATATCTCAATAAAGTTGTTTAAAAAATCAGGTGGTCAGAGAAGGCCTCCATGAGAAGGTGGCATTACATTCTTTGGCAGGGAAATGAAACATTTTCATAGTAAAAATATATTGTACAGTAGCAGAACTCACATACATTTTAATAATAAAACATGGAATGTTAAAGAACCTTGGTGTTCACAGCAACATCAAGTGACCACCAAGTGATCAGACCAGGGTCACACAGTATCAGGGTACCTTCAGGGGAGAGTGGTGTGAAGACCACATGCCACAGGTTTCAAATAGGGAAGGAGAACCATCAGAATTGGACTTTGGAATCATCAGAGTGGAAACAGAACTGGAATGGGATGGATCCTACATTCCCAGGAAGGGAGGGGATGTTCTTGATTATCCTGCTCAGTGCCTTGCTTGTGGGCCTCTTGTCCCCACTTTACAGATAGGAAAACTAAAGCTTGCCGGGACAGATTAATGAAAACAGTAATAAAAGTTCACACACTGACCTCATGGTGAGGCAGTTTGTATGGTGGTTTGATGGGGGAAGAGAGGTGAGAGAAGAGGACAGATTCCAGAGCCTAAGGAGGATGCTCAGCAGGACCTGGTGAGGGCTCTGTTGTGAGTGATAAAGGTGAGAGAAGAGTCAAGAACACTCCCAGGCTTCTGGCTTGTACACCCGGGCTCATGGCTGCACCATTGGCTGGGATGAGGAATGCTGCTGCGCAGTTGGTGGGTTTGGTTGGATTTGAGGCACCTGTGAGACACCTGGGGGGCGCTGTCCAGTTCTTTGTATTGTTCTGGAGCTCAAAAGAGAGGTCTGCACTAGCAGTGGGGAAAGTGGTGTATCAGGGGCCCTAAACTCACATGTCTACAGGAGCCCCACCGATAGAACCCCATGAGTGAGAATTACAGGGTGAAGACCATGGACAACAAGAGAGTGCGTTCCCTCTAGGGGGGGCTGCTATTGCTCAACTCTAGACTGAGGTAGGGCATGCAGGCTTAGCCCAGGAGGGTTCCTGGCATCACCCAGGAAAGAATTCAAGGATGAGCCAGTGGTGTTAGCAACTTTTCTTAAAGCAGCAGTGTGCAGCAACAGCAAAGGTGCTGCTCCTTGTGGGCCAGGGCTACCCCATAGGCAGTATGCCCAGCATAGCAGCTCTGAGTGACAGAGTGAGATCCTGTCTCAAAAACAAACAGACAAACAAAAAGTACTACAAATATACAGAAACCCCGACAGTGTGACATTGGCATAAGAAGGGACATATAGATCAAAGAAATTGAACTAAGAGTCCAAAAAGAAGCCCTTAAAATTATGTTCAATTGATTTCTACATGGGTGTCAAGACAATTCAATGGAGAAAGAATAAAAATAGTCTTTTCAATAAATGGTGTTGGGACCGCTGTATACCCACATGCAAAAGAATGAAGTTGTTATACCCTACAGTTCTGTAATCATATTTATACTCAGTTTTAATTACATGCAAATTAAAGGGCAGATTATGCAGAAATTTTTAGGAAAAGGGTGGTAACTTCCAGGTGATTGCCTTGAAAAGGGGTAGTAAGTTCTGGGTGTTGCCATAGCACTGGTGGGCATGTCTTATAGAGAAGTGCTTTTGCCTCCTCCCTGTTTCCATTCGTCTATAATCTAGTCCTGAGTTTGAGCCCCAGCTCCTGAGTCAAGTCCCGCCTCCTGCCTCAAGACCATTATTGCCATGTAGAGAGTGGTAAGGGAGCATGAATGGAATTTGGAGCTTTACTGCCTGGTTCAAGTCCCAGCTCCCTCACTTACCACATAAGCTGTGTGATTGAGGAGTTACTTTACTTCCCTGTGTCTCGGCTTCCTTGTCTGTTAAATGTGGGTGATGATAATACCTCTGTAGTACCTCCTAGAGAAAAAAAATATAGCACCAAGTGCTATAGTACACATAGCAAATCTGCAAAAGTGCTAGCTATCATTATTATCTGAGGCTTTTGACCCAGCTCTCAGAGAAGCTGGAAATTTGCATTTTTATGTGAAATTTCCTGGCAACTGATTTAAAACTTTATTTACATAGAGAATCAAACACAAGGCATGTGGCGCCGGTGTGCATATGGCTCTTGAACTGCCAGTTTGACTTCCATGAGCCATAGTAAATTAAAGGAGCAAGGGGGTGCCTGCCGCTGACGTTGTGTGATGCCCTGCAGGGTCCCGGAAAGAGAGGCAGGTGTACAGCAAGGCGGTGAACAGGCTGTTCGGCGTGGAAGCCTCTGGAAGGAGAATCTGGATCCGCAGGGCTGGGGGTCGCTGTCTCTGGCGTGACGACCTCCTGGAGCCTGCCACCAAGCCCAGCATCGCTGGCAAGTTCAAGGTGCTAGAGCCTCCCATGCTGGGCCACGACCTGAGACTGGCCCTGTGCTTGGCCAACCTCACCTCCCGGGCCCAGCGGGTGAGGGTCAACCTGAGCGGTGCCACCATCCTCTATACCCGCAAGCCAGTGGCAGAGATCCTGCATGAATCCCACGCCGTGAGGCTGGGGCCGCAAGAAGGTAAGTGTACGCTGGCTTGGTGGAATCAGGCCAAACCACCTCCTTTTTCAGGAGGGTTGTGGAGGTCAGAGGGATTTCCCAGGACTGCATTCATCCCCAGGAAGGAAGGGGACATTCCTGAGCATTGTGCTCAGTGCCTTGCCTCTTGTCCCGACTTTACAGATGAGAAAACTGAGACTCGGAGGGGCAAAACACTAATAACAGTAATGCAAGTCCACATGCATCTGGTGGCAATCTGATGAAGATGTGATTTATAGTTTCTATTTTTTTAATTAGAATGAATATTTACACACCAAATAAATACATGCTGGGGGTATTTCAGCATATATGGAATATGCCATGCATTACTTTTCTAAAATCCAAAAAAATCTGGAGCCCATTTGGCTCCAGGTGTTCTGTGGGAGAGGGCTGGACTGGTAACAGATGGTTTTCTTTGTTTTGGTTTTCGGGTTTTTTTGAGACAGAGTCTCACTCTGTCACCCAGGCTGGAGTGAAGTGGTGTGATCTTAGCTCACTGCAACCTCCACCTCCCGGGTTCAAGGGCTTCTCTTGCCTCAACCTCCTGAGTAGCTGGGACTACAGGCGTGCACCACCACACCCAGATAATTTTTGTATTTTTAGTAGAGAGGGGGTTTCATGATGTTGCCCAGGCTGGACTCGAGTGATCTGCCCGCCTTGGCCTCCCAAAGTGCTGGGATGACAGGCTTAAGCCACGGCACCAGGCCAGAGATGTTTACTAAGTGCTTAAATGTGCCAAGTCCTGTCCCAAGAATTCTGCATGCGACGGCACAATCCCTCCAGCCACCTTGTGTGTGGTACTAGTGCTAGCTCCATCTTTGAAAGGAGAAAACTCACACCAAGAAAGGTGAAGTCACGAGTTCAGAGTCACACAGTCAGTGTGCATAGTTGCAGGACCCAAATCCAGGCAGTCTGGCATGAGAGACACACTCCTGACCAAGACCAGGAAGGGGCAAAGCCAGGGTTCAAAGCCAGGAACGTTGACCACAGTGCACATTTACTCAGCTGATGCAATTGCTTGACTGCAGGTTATGGAATGGTCAGGTCAGCCCACACCAGATATGCTCAACACACCTAATGGTACATTTGCCTAAAATTTATCCTTAGTATTTCATAGCAGAAGAGAATGGTTTCAGTCTTTTTAAAGGTTTTTGTATTTTTTTAACTGACCTTATTCCAACTGTTTCTTTAAAAATATATTGAGGCCGGGCGCGGTGGCTCACGCCTGTAATCCTAGCATTTTGGGAGGCCAAGGCGGGTGGATCACGAGGTCAGGAGATCGAAACCATCCTGGCTAACACAGTGAAACCCCATCTCTACTAAAAATACAAGAAAATTAGCCGGGCATGGTGGCACACGCCTGTAGTCCCAGCTACTCAGGAGGCTGAGGCAGGAGACTCACTTGAACCCAGGAAGCGGAGGTTAAAGGATTTTTTCGTGATCCTTGAACACATAGCACTTCGTGGATGATTTATTAAATGTATCCTCTTTGATTATTCTTGCACTTTTTTCCTAGTCTGTCTGTCTGTCTTTTTGCCGGTATCTCCCTCTCCATCTGTCTCTCCTTCCCTGTCTGTCTCTCTGTCTCTGTCCCTTTGGCTTTTTCATCTGTCTCTCTATCTCTCTCAGTCTATCTCTGTATCTCTATCTCTCCTTTGCCTCTCTCTCCTTTCACATACTTTCTGAATTCTAAGGATTCAATTAAACAAAGAAATTGTTGCTCTGGGCCAGTTTCTGGTAAGTGAAGCTTGTGGATTTTCGCAGGGTGTGAAAATGTATGAAGGAGGTGTCACACTTTTTTAGCTTTTTTTGTCATTTATTTTTCACAAAGTCTAAATCACAAAATAACACTTCATCATAAAATTTTAATTAACACACACTTCCCTCTGGCTTTCAGCAATTTTTTTCATATTAAAAGTAATACATATTCATAAAAATTTGGAAAGCAAAAGAGAAAAATCACCTATGATTCTACCACCCACCTACAAACTGTTAATGTATTTTACTTCCAAATCCTTAATGCCTGTTTGCTTTTTGAAAAACAGTTCTGGTTAAATATTGCAAATAGTCATTAATGCCCTGCTCTTTTCATATTGCATTGTATTTTAAATATTTTTATAAGCTCCTCACAAACATCATTTTAATAGATATTTAAATAAATAGAATTTAACAGATCTTTAAATAAATATATGGTGACCTATGTTTTCTTTTAGGTAGTTATCAGCTTATTGCTATTAAAAATAACACTAAACTTTTGTTTATCTACAGAGTGTCAGGTAAGCAAGTGAACATTTTGATGCAAAAAGAAATCACTTTTTTTCCTCTGGATTTTGGACTTTTGTTAGACTGTATCACAAAAGTGAAATTCTTGGGCCAGGCGCAGTGGCTCACGCCTGTAATCCCAGCACTTTGGGAGGCCGAGGCAGGTGGATCACGAGGTCAGGAGATGGAGACCATCCTAGCTAACACAGTGAAACCCCATCTCTACTAAAAATACAAAAAAATTAGCCGGGCGTGGCGGCATGCGCCTGTAGTCCCAGCTACTCAGGAGGCTGAGGCAGGAGAAAGGCGTGAACCCAGGAGGCAGAGCTTGCAGTGAGCCGAGATCGCGCCACTGCACTCCAGCCTGGGCAACAGAGAGAGACTCTTGTCTAAAAAAACAAACAAAAAAAAAAGTGAAATTCTTTGGCCAAATGATAGACTATTAAAACATATAATTTATTAAATTATTAGGTTTTTAAGTAGTTTTAGGTTTTCAGAAAACTTTGAGTGGGAAGTACAGAGAGTTCCCATACCCCTGTCCACCACCACGCCTCTCCTCCTGTTATTAACATCTTGCTTTAGTGTGGTACATTTGTTACAATTAATGAGCCAATATTGGCACAGTATTATTAACTAAAATTCATAGTTAATATTAGGGTTCACTCTGTGTTGTGCATTCTATGGCTTTTGACAAATGTATAATGACATGTATCTAACATTCCACTGTCATACAGAATAGTTTCACCCCTCCAATATCCCCATGTTCCAGCTATGTGCTCCACCTATTCATCCCTCCTTCCCTTGCCTGAACCCCCAGTGACCACTGATCTTTTTACTGTCTCCACACTTTTGCCTGTTTCATGATGTCATCTAGTTGAAATCATACAGTGTAATTAAGCTTTTTCAGATTGGCTTCTTTCACTTAGCAATATGTATTTAAGGATCCCTTACGGTTTTTGTGTCTTGATGGGTCATTTCTTCTTATTGCAAAATAGTATTCCATTATATGGATGTACACAGTTTATCCATTCACCTACTGAAGGACTTCTTGGTTGATTCCGAGTTTTGGCAATTATGAATAAAGCTGCTGTAAACATCCTTATGCAGGTTTTTGTGTGGGCTTGAGTTTTTAATTTTTTTTTTTTATTTTTTGAGACAGAGTCTCGCTCCGTCACCAGGCTAGAGTGCAGTGGTGCGATTTTGGCTCACTGCAACCTCCGCCTCCCGGGTTCAAGTGATTCTCCTGCCTCAGCCTCTCGAGTAGCTGGGATTACGGGCACACACGACTACACCTAGTTAATTTTTGTATTTTTAGTAAAGACAGGGTTTCACCATGTTGGCCAGGATGGTCTTGATCTCCTGACCTCGTGATCCACCTGCCTCGGCCTCCCAAAGTGCTGGGATTACAGGCATGAGCCGCCGTGCCCGGCTCGAATTTTAAATTCTTTAGATAAATACCAAGGAGCACACTTGCTGCACCTTATGGTAAGAGTATGTTTTGGTAAGAAACTGACAAACTGTCTTCCAAAGTGGCTGTATCATTTTGAATTCCCACCAGGAATATATGAGCATTCCTGTTGTTCCCTATTCTATCCAGCAGATGGTATTGTGTGTTTTGGATTACTGACATTGTAATAGGTGTGTAATAGTATATCAGAGTTTACTATTCACTAATGACATATGACATTGAGCATCTTTTCATATACTTATTTGACATCTCTATCTCTTCTTTGGTGAGGTGTCCAGGTCTTTTGCCCATATTTTAATCGGGTTGTTCATTTTCTCATTGCTGGTTTTTAAAAGGTCTTTGTGTATTTTGGATAACAGTCTTTTATCGGATGTCTTTTGCAAACATTTTCTCCCAGGCTGTGTCCTCTCTTCCCAGTCTCTTCACAGTGTTTTCTGCAGTGCAGAGTTTTTAGTTTTAATAAAGTCCAACTTATCAATTTTTTCTTTCATGGATCATGCCTTTGGTATTGTATCAAAAAAAATTACCGGCTGGATGTGGTGGCTCACGGCTGTAATCCCAGCACTTTGGGAGGCTGAAGCAGGTGGATCACTTGAGATCAGGAGTTTGAGACCAGCCTGGTCAACATGGTGAAACCTCATCTCTACTAAAAACACAAAAAGTAGCTGGGCGTGGTGGTGGGTGCCTGTAATCCCAGCTACTCGGGAGGCTGAGGCAGGAGAATCGCTTGAACCCGGGAGGCGGAGGTTGCAGTGAGCCAAAATCACACCAGTGCACTCCAGCCTGGGCGATAGAGCAAGACTCCATCTCAAAAAAATATATATATATTACCAATCTCAGGTCATCTAGATTTTCTCCCATGTTATCTTTAAGAGTTCTGTAGTTTTGCATTTTACATTTAGGTCAATGATTCAGTTTAGTACATTTTGTAAAGAATGTAAGGCCTGTGTCTAGATTGTTTTTCCCCGTGTGGATATCCAGTTGCTTCAGCACCATTTGTTGACTATCTTTTCTCCATTGTATTTCCTTTGCTACTTTGTCAAAGATCAACTGACTATGTTTGTGCAGGTCTATTTCTGAACTCTCTTCTATTCCATTGATCTAGAGGCATACCTCAGACATATTGCAGGTTTGGTTCCAGACAACCACAATAGTAGGAATATTGCAATAAAGCAAGTCACACAAATGTTTTGGTTTCCCAGTGCATATAAAAGTTATATTTACATTATACTGTAGTCTATAAAGCGTGCAATAGCATTATTTCTTTTAAAAAATATATACACCTTAATTTTAAAATACTTTACGGCTATAAAATGCTAACAATCGGGGCCAGGCACAGGCGGTGCATACCTGTAATCCCAGCACTTTGGGAGGCTGAGGCAGAAGGATCACTTGAGCTCAAGAGCTCAAGACCAACCTGGGCAACATGGTGAAACCCCATCTCTACAAAAAAAATAAATAAAGGAAGAAAACAAAAAAAATTAGCCAGGCATGGTGGTACACACCTGTTGTCTCAGCTACTCAAAAGTGAGGTGGGAGGATCACTTGAGCCCGGGAGTTCAAGGCTGCAGTGAGCTGAGATCCTGCCACTGCACTCCAGCCTGGGTAACAAAGGGAGACTCTTTCTCAAAAAAAAAAAAAAAAAGTTAACCATCTGAACCTTCACTGAGTCATAATCTTTTTGCTGGTGGAAGGTCTTGCCTCAATGTTGATGGCTGCTACCTTAGTTGATAAAGCAGTGGCAGGGTTTGACAGGATTGACTCCAAGTTTGAAAGAAGTTCTACTGTGAGTAAAATGCTATCAAACACCATCGCAACACTACTACCTGACCAGGGTAGTGGTTGCCAAAGGTTGGGGTGGTTGTGGCAATTTCTTAAAATAAGACAACAACGAAATTCGCCACATTGAATGACTTTCTTCCTTTCACGAAGGATTTCTCTGTAGTATGCGATGGTGTTCGATAGCATTTTACTCACAGTAGAACCTCTTTCAAACTTGGAGTCAATCCTCTCAAACCCTGCCACTGCTTTATCAACTAAGTTTATGTAATATTCAAAATCTTTTGTTGCCATTTCAACAACGTTTAGAGCATCTTCACCAGGAGTAGTTTCCATCTTTGAAAAACACTTTCTTTGCTCACACATAAGAAGCAACTCTTCATCTGTTCAAGTTTTACCATCAGATGGAGCAATTCAGTCACATCTTTAGGCTGCACTCTAATTCTCTTGCTGTTTCCACCACATCATCAGTGACTTCCTGCATTGAAATCTTGAATGCCTCAAAGTCATCCATAAGAGTTGGAATCAACTTCTTTCCAACTCCTATTAATGTTGATATTTTTACCTCCTCCCATGAATCATGAATATACTTAATGGTGTCTAGAATGGTGAATCTTTTCCAGAAGGTTTTCAATTGACTTTGCCCAGATCCATTAGAGGAATCACTATCTATGGCAGCTATGGCTTTATGAAATGTATTTCTTAAATAAAAAGACTTGAAAGTTAAAATTACTCATTGATTCATGGTCTGCAGAATGAATGTTAACAGGCATGAAAATAACATTAATCTCATTGTACACCTCCATCAGAGTTCTTGAGTGACTAGGTGCATTGTCAATGAGCAGTAATACTTTGACAAGAATCTTCTTTTCTGATCAGTAGGTCTCAACAGTTGGCCTAAAATATTCAGTAAACCATGCTATAAACAGATGTGCTATCATCCTGGCTTCGTTGTTCCTTTATGGACCACAGGCATAGTAGATTTAGCATAATTCTTAAGGGCCCTAGGATTTAGAAATTTAAATGAGCATTGGCTTCAACTTAAAGTCACCAGCTGCATTAGCTCCTTAATGCACAGAGTCAGCCTCTCCTTTGAAACTTTGAAGCCAGGCATTGACTTCTGTCCCGCTATGAAAGTCCTAGATGGCATCTTCTTCCAATATAAAGCTATTTTTTCTACATTGAAAATGTGTTGTTTTATGTAGCCATCTTCACCAATGATCTTAGCTAGAGTCTCTGCATAACTTGCTGTTGCTTCTACATCAGCACTTGTTGCTTCAGCTTGCACTTTTATGTTATAGAGATGGCGTCTTTCCTTAAACCTTATGAACCAACCTGTGCTAGCTTCAAACTTGTCTTCTGTAGCTTCCTAACATCTCTCAATCCTTATAGAATTGAAGAGAATCAGGGCCTTGCTCTGGATTAGGCTTTGGCTTAATGGAATGTTATGGCTGGTGTGATCTTATATGGAGATCACTAAAACTTTCTCCATATTAGCAATAAGGCTATTTTGCTTTCTTATCATTCCTATGTCACTTTTAGTTTCCTTCAAGAGTAGCACTTTTAATTTCCTTCAAGAACTTTCCCTTTGCATTCAAAACCTTGCTGTTTGGCACAAGAGGCCTAGCTTTTGGCCCATCTTGGCTTTCTATGTGCCTTCCTCACTAAGCTTAATCATTTCTAGCTTTTGACTTAAAGTGAGAGACATGTAACTCTCATTAACTTGAACACCTAGAGGCCATTGTAGGTTTATTAATTGGCCTAATTTCAATATTATTGTGTATCCGGGAATAGGAAGGCCCAAGGACAGGGAGAGAGATAGGGAAATGGCCAGTCGGTGGAGCAGTCAGAACTCACATGACATTTTTTAATTAAGTTCAACATCTTACAGGGCATGGTTTGTGGTGCTAACAAACAGTTACAATAGTAGCCTCAAAGATCACTGATCAAGGGCTGGGCACAGGGGCTCATATATGTAATCCCAATCCCATTCACTTTTGGAGGCCAAAGTGAGAGAACTGCTTGAACCTAGGAGTTTGAGACCAGCTTGGGCAACACAGCAATACCCCATCTCTACAAAAAATTAAAATAAAAAATACCTGCTGGGTGTGGTGGCATGCTCCCATAGTCCTAGCTACCTGGAGGCTGAGGCAGGAGGATTGCTTGAGCCCAAGAGCTGGAAGTTTGCAGTGAGCTATGATCACACCACTGCACTTACAGCCTGGGTGACAGAGCAAGACCTTGTCTTAAAGAAAAAAAAAAAAAGATCACTGATCATAGAAGCAAACACATGCTCTTGGAAAAATGGCTCTTATAGAGTTGCCTGACTCAGGGTTGCCACAAAACTTCAATTTGTAAAAAATGCAATATCTGCAAAGTACAATAAAATGAAGCACAGTAAAATAAGGTATGCCTGTCTTTGTCCATTCTTTCACTAATACCACACTGTCTTGATGACTGTACCTTTATAGTAAATCTTAAAGGTACCTGAAGTCAGGTAGTGCCAGTCCTCTAACTTTGTTCCTCTCCTTCAATAATGTACAATTGTACAATTGTACTGACTACTCTGGGTCTTTTGCCTCTTGACATAAACTTTTTTATGTCATGGTTCTTTAAAAAAATCTTAATTGATATATATTAGTAATACATATTTTGTGGGTACACATATTTTGATACATGTATAGAATGTGTAACAATCGAATCAGGGTAATTGGGATATCCATCACCTTATACATTTATCTGTATCTTTTCTTCGTGTTCGAAACTATACAATTTATTCTAGCTATTTAGAAAGGTACCATAAATCATTATTAACTATAATTTCCCTACTGTGTTATGAAATATTAGAACTTATTCTTTCTAACTATCTTGTACCCATTATCCAACTTCTCTTCATTCCTGCCTCCCACCCACACATAAAGTTTGGAATCAGTTTGTCAATATCCACAAAATAACTTCTTCAGATTGCATTGAATCTATAGATCAAGCTAGGAAAAATTGACATTTTGACAATATTGAGCCTTTCTATCCATGAACATGGAATATCTCTCCATTTATTTAGTTTTTTGATTTCTTTCATCAGAGTTTTACAGTTCTTCTTGTGTAGATCTTGTACATATTTTGTTAAATTAATGCCTAAGTGTTCCATTTTTGGTGGTGCTAACATAAGTGGTATTATGTTTTTAATTTTAATTTCCAATTGTTCATTGCTGGTATATAGGAAAATGATTGACTTCTGTATATTAGTAATCTTATACCCTGTAACCTTGCTATTACCACTCATAAGTTCCAGGATTTTTTGTTTGTTGTTGTTGACAATTCTTTTGGATTTTCTACATAAACAATTATATCATTTGTGAACAAAGACTGTTTTATTTCTTCCTTCCCAATCTGTATACATTTTATTTCCTTGTTTTATCTTATTGCATTAGCAAAGACTTCCAATATGATGTTGAAAAGGAATAGTAAGAGGGGACATCCTTGCCTTGTTCCTAATCATCATGGGAAAGCTTCCAGTTTGTCACCAATAAGGACAATGTTTGCTGTAGGTTTTTTGTAGATGTTCTTTATCAAGTTGAGTAAATTCCTCCTCTATTCCTAGTTTGCTGAGAGCTTTATCAGGAATGGGTGTTGGATTTTATCAAATTCTTTTTCTGCATCTATTGATATGATCATGTTATTTTTTCCTGTTGATTTGATGGACTATATTAATTGACCTTTAATATTGACCCAGCCTTACATGCCTAGAATAAATCCCACTTGATCATAGCATGTAATTTTTTATACATTGTTAATTCAATTTACCAATATTTTGTGGGAATTTTTGCATCTATGTTCATATTGGTCTGTAGTTTTGTTTTTCTTGCAATGTCTTTGTCTGGTTTTTGGCATTAAGGTAATGCTGGCCTCATAGAATGAATCAGGAAGTATTTCTCTGCTTCCATTTTCTGGAAGAGATTGTAGAGAATTGCTATAATTTTTTTTTCTTAAATTCTTGGTATAATTCACCAGTGAACCCATCTGGGATTAATGTGTTCTGGTTTGGAAGGTTATTAAGTACTGATTCCATTTTTTAGTAGATATAGGCCTATTCATGTTGTCTGTTTCTTCTTATGTGAATTTTAGCAGATTTTTTTCTTTCAAGAACTGGTCCCTTTTATCTGGATTATCAAACCTGTGGGCATAAAGTTGTTCATAATATTCCTTTACTCTCTGTTTTTTTCCTAACTCCCCAAACTTGTTACCTTTACTATCCTTTTAATGTCCATGGAATCTGTAGAGATGTCCTCTCTTGCATTTATCATATTAGTAACTTGTGCCTTCTCTCTTTTTTTTCTGAGTTAGCCTTGCTAGAGGCTTATTGACTTTACTGATCTTTTCAAAGAACCAGCTTTTGGTTTTGGTGATTTTCTCTATTGATCTCTGATTTTCAATTTTACTGATTTCTGCTCTAATTTTTATTATTTCTTTTCTTCTGCTTAAGATGAGTTTAACGTGTTCTCCTTTTTATAGTTTCCTAAAGCAGAAGTTTAGATTATTGGATTTAGATCCTTCTTCTTTTCTATCATATGTATTGAATATTATAGACTTCTCTCTAAGCACTGCTTTTGCTGCAACCTACAAGTTTGTGTGTTGGGGGAGGGGTGTTTGTTTGTTTGTTTTGTTTTGCTTTTCAGACAGAGTCTCGTTCTGTCACCCAGGCTGGAGTGCAGTGGCACAATCATGGCTCACTGTAGCCTCAACTTCCCAGGCTCAGGTGATTCTCCCTCCTCAGCCTCCCAAGTAGCTGAGACTACAGGCACGTGCCCACAAATTTTGATAAGTTGTAGTTTCATTTTCATTTACTTCGAAATACTTTTAAATTTCTCTTAAGACTTCTTCTTTGTCCCATGTGTTCTTCTAGAAGTGTGTTGTTTAATCCCTAGGTATTTTAGATTTTTCAGCTGTCTTTCTGTCATTGATTTCCAGTTTGATTTCATTGTGTTCTGGGGGCATATATTGCATAATTTCTATTATTTTAAACTTGTTAATGTGTCATTTATGCCACAGAATGTGATCCTTTTTGGTGAGTGCTCCGTGTAAGATTGAGAAGAATGCGTATCCTGCTGTTGTTGGATGAAATATTCTGCAGATGTCAGTTAGCCCAGCTGAGTGACGGTGCTATTGAGAACCATTGTTCTAGGGAAAGGGGTCTCAGCTTTTATTAGATTGTTAGTGGTGTCTATGAGTCAGAGAACTTCAAAAAGCCCTGATGCAAACATTTTAAAGGGCTACTTTTCTCCTCCTTTCTCCCAGGATCTGAGCTGATGCCCAAAGCTCTGCTCATGTGTATCATATGGTGGCATATGATGGTTCTTCATGCTGGAGACTGAGAATTTACATCTCTAACAAGTTCCCAGGTGACGCTGATGCTGCTGGTCCCAGGACCACACTTGGAGAACCGTGGTCTATCACCATGCAAGGAGTAAATGATATAATGTATATAAAGTATTTGGCATCATTCTTACTACCTAATGAGCATTCAATTTATGTTTATTATCAGTGTTTTTGATATTATTATCAATAATAATATATTATCAATAACATAATAAATCAATCAATAAAATAAAAATAATAATACCCGCTCATGGAATTGTTGTAAGGATTAAATAAGTCAATCTGTGAAAGCGCTTCCAAGTGCAGTACACTTTAATCCCTTAGTAAAACTTAGCTTTTATAATTATAATTATTATTGTTATTTTGAGATAGAGTCTCTCTCTGTCGCTCAGGCTGGAGTGCAGTGGCGCAATCTCAGCTCACTGCAACCTCCGCCTGCTAGGTTCAAGTAATTCTCCTGCCTCAGCCTCCCAAGTAGCTGGGATTATAGGCACAACACCACGCCCTGCTAATTTTGTAATTTTTTTTAGTAGAGACAGGGTTTCAACATGTTGGTCAGGCTGGTCTTGAACTCCTGACCTCAGGTGATCCACCCGCCTTCACCTCCCAAAGTGCTGGGATTACAGGCGTGAGCCACGGCACCCGGCCTATAATTATTATTTATTACTGTTATTGTAATAAAGGTTCTTCCAATAATGACCTACTGAACTAAGGGAGCCCATAAAACAAAATCATACTTTAACACATGAATCACCCTACTGGCATTCAGGAGAATCTACGATATGCAAAGCCCTGGGGTAGCAGAGCGCATGAGCCAAGTTGAGCCCTTTAAGGACCTTTTCCATGAGTTAAAAACTCAGATGCCTTCAGAGTCAGAAAGAAAACAGAAATAAAGGAAGCAGTGGGAGTAGAACAATAGGGAATGAGAGGGCCTGGGAGCAAACCAGAAAGAGCACATTGAACCTAAAAGAAAGAATATATAGTAGTCAGAAAAAAAAAAAAAACAAATATGGTCCAGGCATGGTGGCTCACACCTGTAATCCCAGCACTTTAGGAGGCCAAGGCGAGAGGATCATGAGGTCAAAAGATCGAGACCATCCTGGCGAACATGGTGAAACCCCATCTCTACTAAGAATACAAAAATTAGCTGGGCATGGTGGCATGTGCCTGTAGTCCCAGCTACTCAAGAGGCTGAGGCAGGAGAATTGCTTGAACCCAGGAGGTGGAGGTTGCAGTGAGCCGAGATCATGCCACTGCACTCCAGCCTCGCGACAGAGCGAGACTCCGTCTCCAAAAAAAAAAAAAGACTGAGGTTTATGGTGATCCATGCTTACAAGAAAAGAACACCTAGGAAGGATGTTTCTGACTGGTGAGAGGGAGACAGAGATGGCCAGGACCACAGGAGCTCAGAGAGCATGAGAGCACTGGGAGGAGGTGTCAGTGAAGACTTCCCTCAGTTGGTGGGGCTGACCAGGACTGGGCCTTCATGGAGGGGGGCATTTGGAAAAGTTGTAGGGAATTGGCCTCACAGGATTGGAAGATTGAGGCATGCCTTTGGTCTTCCTCTTCTCTGCTCCTAGCACATAGTAGGTGCTCAATAAACAGAGAAGGATGGGATGAATGGATGATGGGCTGAGAGATTTTCATCTTGAATAAGTAGGGAAAGCTTGGAAACATCTCTGGGGGCTCTTGGAGAAATTATCTGGTATTGTGGTAGCTCCCTGACCTAAATTTGACTCCCACCTCATCTTAATTTCTTGGTTTACTTCCTATATGAGTTTGAACAGGAAAATACCCACTCTGGGCCTTAGGTTTCTTCATCTGAGAACCGAGGAAAATAAAGCCTGTCTCAGAATGGTTGCAAGGACCAGAGAGAAAGGAGCTATTAGTTGTGCATTCCCTTCCTTCTTCCCAGTGCCATTGAAGAAAGACATCAAGCCCCAACTCCCACTTCTGCTTTCCCTTCCAGAGAAGAGAATCCCAATTACAATATCTTACTCTAAGTATAAAGAAGACCTGACAGAGGACAAGAAGATCCTGTTGGCTGCCATGTGCCTTGTCACCAAAGGAGAGAAGCTTCTGGTGGAGAAGGACATTACTCTAGAGGACTTCATCACCATCAAGGTGACCTCAGCCTGCATCTACCATGCTGTTCCTAGTGGCACCCACTCCCCAGAGCTGGGGGAGGGCGTCAGAAGCTGGGGGGGTTTGTGCCTTTAACTCCAGCTTTAGCTCTCCAGGGTGGGAGGAGTGGGTTGGACATAAGGGGATGGGTGCAATAGTGGCACTCAGCAATGGGGTATATGGAGGTGGGGGTGGACATGACTAATGATCCATCCTCTAACTCAGCCAGGACCATCGGTTTCCTGGAGGGAGGAGGGGTAGGCGCGATGGCTCATGGGTGTTGTCCCCTTCAGGTTCTGGGCCCAGCCATGGTGGGAGTGGCAGTTACAGTGGAAGTGACAGTAGTCAACCCCCTCATAGAGAGAGTGAAGGACTGTGCGCTGATGGTGGAGGGCAGCGGCCTTCTCCAGGAACAGCTCAGCATCGAGTAAGTGCCAGCCTGGGGGGCTGGCAGGGAATGGGGCTCTCTTCCTTGTGGATGAGCCAGAGAGAAGTTGCCAGGGATGGGGGTGTGAGAGAGATTCTGGACACCCCAGGAACCAGCCCACAGACTATACATATCAGCCTTCATTCACTTATTTATTCCTTCATTCATCCAATCATTCATTTACTCAAATCATATAACTCATTCACTCAGTCATTCACTCATATCATTCATTCATACTTTCATTTATTTATCCATTTATTCACTCACTTTCATTCATTTGCTCTCTTTCACTCATTCATTCATGCATTCTTCAATTTGCTTACTCTTTATTCACTCATTTGTTCATTTTTTCATTCACTTATTCCTACATTTATGCTTCACTCATTCATTCACACATGTTCCCATTTGTTCATGGATTCGTTTATTTACTTATTCATTGTCAATCATTCATTCACTCCTTCATTCTTCCATTCATCCACTTGCAACTCATGTGGTCCTTGATTATACTGACCTGTACTCTGGCCCATGTGTAATTGTTAGGAACACTAAGATGGACAGAAACAGTTTTGCCTGGAGAAGGGCTCTCAGATACAGATGGCCCTTCACATGAGGACAGTGTGATTTGTGAAAAAGATCTTGTCCAAGGTCTGGGGGAGCAAAAGCAGCCCTTAAGTGAGGGTGGGGCCAGGAAGAAGTCCCAGTGGAGCTGGTGTTTGAGCTGAGCCTTAAATGATGAATTGAGATTTTCAGGTATCAAGAAGTAAGGACGGTTTGCCAGGCAAAGGTCTTGGTGTCAACACCTGATGGCTGGTGTTGTCAGGGAAGGTCTCCTGGAAAAAGAGAACTTGATTTGGGCCTTGGGTGGATTGGAATAAGAAAGGCATCCTAGGTGGAACAGAGCAGATGAAAGCCCAGAGGGGGGAAGTTCAGGGCACAGACAGAAAACTAGCCTGGCTAGATGGGAAGAGTGTGGGTGGTAGAAGAGAAAATTAAATTGGAAATATGTTTTTTTGGTTGTTGTTTTTGTTTGTTTGTTTTTGAGACAGAGTCTCACTCTGTTGCCCCAGCTGGAGTGCAGTGGTGCAGTCTTGGCTCACTGCAACCTCTCCCTCCCAGGTTCAAGCGATTCTCCTGTCTCAGCTTCCTGAGTAGCTGGGATTACAGGTGTGCACCACTGCACCCGGCTAATTTTTGTATTTTAGTAGAGATGAGGTTTCACCACGTTGGCCAGGCTGGTCTCGAACTCCTGACCTCAGATGATCCACCTGCCTCAGCCTCCCAGTGTGCTGGGATTACAGGAGTGAGCCACCGCACCTGGCCTGCAAACATGTTGATAAGGCTTGAATGTCAAGCCACAAGGTGAACTTGATCCTGAGGAGCCTGGGGAGCCGTGGATTGGCAGGCCAGACTCAGAATGGCAAGAGGACTGACAGTCTGCCTTTCTCCCCTCCCCTTCCTCCAGCGTGCCTACCCTGGAGCCTCAGGAGAGGGCCTCAGTCCAGTTTGACATCACCCCCTCCAAAAGTGGCCCAAGGCAGCTGCAGGTGGACCTTGTAAGCCCTCACTTCCCGGACATCAAGGGCTTTGTGATCGTCCATGTGGCCACTGCCAAGTGATGGATCATGAGGGACTGAGAGGGGTGGATTTGGCCCCTGTCCTCCTCCTGCCCATTCTTTGTCTCTTCCACATGGGAGCCAGGAGGCCTCAGTTAATCCTGCCTCAACCTCTGCCCTACTTTGTAAACTTAGGCAAGTTCCTTCTCCTCCTGGGCCTCAGTTTACTCTTCTGTAAAATGAAGTGTTGCACTCAGTAATCCTTAAACTTTTGGACAACCATAGATGATGTAAGAACCGAGGGAGCCTCTCCAACCTTCATCTCTCATCCCCATGGCTGGGAGGTTGACAGACCCGAGCATCAGAGAAACCCTGGCCCACTCAGCTCTGCCATCTTCCACCCTGCCACCTCGCTGTCACCCTGGCTGACCCTTGGACTCTCCTTGCTTTTCAAATGCCCTGGCCACATCAAGAGCCAAGGATCCTCCCCACAGTCCTGACAGAGAATCCAAAAGTATCAGAGCTGGAACCTAACCATCCCTCAACACTCCCATTACAGAGAAGAAGGAAACTTACAGAGGCCACAGGGTGAGCTAGAGGCAGAGTGGAGGCCCATGTGTGTGCCATTTATACCTCCTAAGTCCCGATCCTAAAAAGCATTAGATTTTAAGCAAAGGGAGATTTTCCCTCAGTGAAGACACAGGCCCAGGATCTGAGGGGCGATTGCTGCCTAGGATAATCTTAAGAAGATAAAGGAAGGGCCCAAACTGGATTGCATTCCTCTAAAATCTGCAGCCCCAAATCTGAAGAGGGCCAGTGACTAACAGCACAAACAACAGCAAACACCTCACAGGGCTCAACTTACACAATTCTGACCGAACAATTAAAGTTGAGAAAATGTTTCATTCAATGGGTGCCAAAACTGTTGCCCCCAGATCAGCTGCAAACAAGAGCAGAGCTTTCCGTGGAAATTGTAAACAAGGGATCAAGATCCCGAAGCATTTCTTCAAAGAATTGTAACAGGATGGAACATGGCTTTACCAATACAGTCCTAAAGACAAAGCACAATCGAAGCAATGGCTACCAAGAGGGGGAAATGGTTCAGTCAAAGCAACAGTGGACCAGCCGGCCAGGCGCGGTGGCTCACACCTGTAATCCCAGCACTTTGGGAGGTCGAGGTGGGCGGATCACTTGAGGTCAGGAGATCAAGACCTGCCTGGCCAGGTGAACCCCATCTCTACTAAAAATACAAACATTAGCCAGGTGTTGTGGTGTGTGCCTGTAATCCCAGCTACTCGGAAGACTAAGGCAGGAGAATCACTTGAACCCAGGAGGTGAAGGTTGCAGTGAACCGAGATTGCACCACTGCACTCCAGCCTGGGCAACGGAGCAAGACTCTGTCTCAAAAAAAAAAAAAAAGTGGACCGGTCAGGTGCAAAGCTTGTAGAAACTGTTTTTTGGGATGCTCAAGACATTTTGCTTGTCGGTTTTCTGGAGAACCAAAGAGTAACAACACCTGCTTATTACGAGTGTTTTGATAAAGTTAGCTGAAGCTTTCAGAAAAAAACCCAGAAAAGCTTCACCAGAGAGTCCTTCTCCACGACAATAATGTTCCTGCTCATTCCTCTCATCAAACAAAGGCAATTTTGTGAGAGGGTTGACTGGAATTCATTAAGCATCCACCATACTGTCCTGATTTGGCTCCATCTGACTTCTTTTTATTTCCTAATCTCTTTTTTTTTTTTTTTTTTTGAGACAGAGTCTTGCTCTGCCGCCCAGGCTGGAGTGCAGTGGCGCGATCTCAGCTCACCTCAACCTCTGCCTCCCGGGTTCAAGCGATTCTCCCGCCTCAGCCTCCTGAGTAGCTGGGATTACAAGCGTGTGCCACCACGCCCGGCTAATTTTTGCATTTTTAGTAGAGATGGGATTTCACCATGTTGGTCAGGTGCGTCTCAAACTCCTGACCTCAAGCGATCCTCCTGCCTCAGCCTTCCAAAGTGTTGGGATTACAGGCATGAGCCACTGGGCCCAGCCTGTTTCCTAATCTTAAAAACAAAATCTTTAAAGGGTGCCCGTTTTTCTTCAGTTAATTGTGTTAAAAAAAAAAAAAAGACTGTGTTGACATGGTTAAATCCCCTGGACCCTCAGTTACTTAGGAATAGACTAAATGGCAGGTATTATTATTTACAAAAATATCTTGAACTTGACAGAGCTCATGTTGAGAAATAAAGTTTCTACTTTTTATGTTTATGTTTTAATGTTACTTTTCCATGAACCTTTTGAAGTCCCCTTGTAGGTGTTTAGGGAGGGGAATGTAGCTGAAGGTGGTGAGGGCCACCTGCCACATAGCTCTGTTTCCAGTACAACGCTCTTGCCCTTGGTGCCTTCGAGTAGCATTTTAATGGGACAAAAGTGGCCTCCCTGGTTATTCCAGCCCCAGTGGAAAGCAGAAGCCGCCCCAACAGCCAATGAGAAAGCCCTGCTTGTGAGTGGGAGAGGTAGAGAAATTGACAGAAGACAGCTTAGAAGTCCAAGGGAGAGTGTGAGTGGGAATGTGGTTTTGGAAATTACAAAGAAAAATGTGCAGGTAGGGAATTCCTTTCAGCTGGTAGGGCAAGACCCTGACCATGTGCTTAACACAGGAAGGGCAGAACAGGTAGTTCAAGACTGAGAAAAGCCTTAGAATTGGCTGGCCATGGGACACTCAGAAGGACACCAGCAACAGGGCTTTACTGAGTCTCAGGACTCCTGCTTCCATTGAGTCCCCCTGTCTCTTAAACACTATCTGAAACTTCATGAAGGCCCTTGACACCAAGTTAGGTCAGGGATCTGAGCTTTCACATACCAGAGGGGCCTCCAAACCTTTAGAACAGAGGTTGGCAAACTTTTCTGCCAATGACCAGATAGTAAATATTTCAGGCTTTGCAGGCCATAGAGTCTCTGTTACAACTACTCAACTCTGCTGCTATAGCATGAAAACTGCCATACTTAGTGCATAAACAAATGAGCCTGGATGTGTTGCAATAAAGTTTTACTTACAAAAACAGGTGGCAGGCCAAGTTTGGCCCACAGGTTGTAGTTGACTGACCTTGCCGTAGGACAACACATTGCTTCCAATCTTGCTCCAGGACTGAGCTCTGACACCAGGCTACACCTTGCCCTAGCATCGAGCCTAAACCTGAGCCAAGGCCAAGCCCTTAACAAGCCTCGGACTGAAACTAGGATGAGGCTCCAGCTTGTGCTCGTGACCCCAAAGACGGCCGTGACTCAGAGGCTAACTAGGTCATGACCCTGATGCCAGATGGGCCCCAGACCTTGGCCTCACACTAAGCCCTGGATCCTACCATAGCTAAATCCTGGCTTGACTCTGGCTCTAGACAGAGCTTGGGCTCCACGTGGAGTCCTGGTCCAGTACCAGACAGTACCGACCCCAGACTGAGCTCTCATGCCAACCTCAGATGACTGAGCTCCAATCCTAAGTGAACCCTGACCCCAGACTAAGCCCGAACCTCAAACAGAGCTCTGATCCAAGACTGAGCTCTGAGCCTACACTGAGACCTGATTCAGGCTCTGGCTGACCCCTGAACTCACTCAGGTCCCAGATGGATCTGGCCTTAGCTTTGGATTTCCATTCTCATCTGAGTTTCCCCATATCCCTGGTCACTGGGTGAAGACAGCCTGTCCTTGAGCCAGGGATCTGCGCTCACCTTCCTTTCCCTTTGAGACACTTGGGTAGAAATATTTGAGAAGCATGGTGACCCCCCTGGATTTTTTAGCTCTGTCACTCTGTGAGAATCTGCATTCATAGCCCAATCCTTATGGAGCGACTGACCAGGGATCCCTCCTCTCATCATGCGGGTTCCTTTCTCCTATTATGCATCTGCCACAAGTGAAAGGAACACTGTAAGCATCTTCCCTGGAACAGGAGGCCATCTGCCACTCCACGTATAAAGATGCTCCTTCCCGCAGGGAGGCTCCACGTGTCCCAGATCCATTTCCCCTTGTGATGGCTCCAGACACATCCTTCCAGCAAATGCCAGCTATCTGTATGCCTCGAGCTCGGCTGTTGCAGGCTGAGTTCCTAGAAAGCTGATTCTGAGATGGAGTTTAGGATGCAGGATGTTGATCTAACAGTGATCTAGGGTTCAACACCCATGGAAGGGAGTGGGGGAGCATGAGTGTGCAGAGGAAGGAATCGAACCATGGTGCAGGCCCAGAGATAGCCTGTCCTGACCCCAGGCAGCTCTGGAGCTAGAATGGCCTATCTGAGTTGTCCAGTTTGGGCCAAGATGGCTGGGCTTTCCTATGCCTGCCTTTGTTAGCGATTCACCCAGGAAGGGACATGACCTTGGCTAAGACAGCTCTCTACAGCAGGGGCCAGCCCTGGAGCAGCTGACAGCTAAGGGTCATCTGCCTGCAGCACTCACAGCAGTTTGAGGAATGAGCCCTCCATTGAGGGGGTTCTGAGCCATGTGTCTCCATGTCCCCCACCTACATTCTGTCAAACCCCAAGAACAGAGCAGTGACATGATAGGTTGCCTAGGCTCGTGCTCACAGAGATTATCCTCTAGCTGGTGGAGACAGGTGTTCATCACATTTGAAAAGATATGAAAAATACAGTGAGAAATACAAGTAAACAAGTAGACAAATTCGTGAATAAATAAGCTAATTAAATTTAGTGAATAAGTGCCAAAAAGAAGATAAAAGTGACAGCCACCTCTCCCTGAGTGGTGGAGTTAAGATAGCCCTATAGCCTTACTTTATTTATTTATGTTTTTTATTTATTTATTTTAGACAGAATCTTCCTCTATTGCCCAGGCTGGAGTGCAGTGGTGCAATCTTACTTCACTGCAACCTCCACCTCCCGGGTTCAAGCAATTCTCCTGCCTCAGCCTCCCGAATAGCTAGGGGTACAGGCACACACCACCACACCTGGCTAGTGTTTGTTTGTTTGTTTGTTTGTTTTTCTTTTTTTCTTTTAGTAGAGACAGGGTTTCACCACATTGGCCAGGCTGGTCTCAAACTCCTGACCTCAGATGATCTGCCTGCCTCAGCCTCCCAAAGTGCTGGGATTACAGGCCTGAGCCACTGCACCCAGCCAAGATAGCCCTACTTTGGATGGAGGCACCAGAGAAAGACTCTCTGAGGAAGTGACGTTTGAGCTGAAATGTTAATAATTACAATAAAAATAATGATTAAAATTTAACTTAGTTAACGTGCTTCCTACCTGCCAGGAACTGTTTCAGGTGCCTTACACCTATTTATTTAATTTTCATAGTAACGTAAGAAAGTAGGTGCTATTATTCTTTCCTCTTTCCAAATGAGGAAACTGAGGCACAGAGAAATGAAGCCACTTTATACACAATTGCAAGCACATAAGATGCAGACCTGATATTTGAGCTCAGGCCAGCAGAGACTGTCCTCTCCGCTGCTATGCTTTACTGCACATGCAGAGCCAGCTGTGCAAAGACGGAGAGAACTGTGTTTCAGGCAGAGGCCACATGCATCAGTTTGGGGCCTTTTCAATAACACTTATGGGGAATCACTTTTCCCACAAAGTCTTGTGGGGAGGGTGACCCGTGGCTCCCATCTCCCACTGCCCCTTTCTCTTCCTTAGGCTGAGGAAGACAGATCTTTCTGCAGCCTGCCCTCAGTACAGCCCACAGTGGGTGCCTTGACTCAGATGGTGCATATGCTCCCTCCTGGAACTTGGATCTTAAGAGATCAGAATGGAGAGAAGCTTCAGAAGGCACTAAAGGTGGTGGTGGTGGTAGTGCCCTAGGCAGTCTTCTAACCAGGTGATTTCTGCTGATACAGTTGCTGTATTCCAGTTACCAATTGCTGGGTAACAAGCAAATGATAACTTAAGCCTTAAAATAATGATAGTTATTGGCCAGGCATGGTGGCTCATGCCTGTAATCCCAGCACTTTGAGATGCCAAGGTGGGCGGATCACCTGAGGATAGGAGTTCCAGACCAGCCTGACCAACATGGAGAAATCCCATCTCCACTAAAAATACAAAATTAGCCGGGAGTGGTGGCACATGCCTGTAATCCCAGCTACTCGGGAGGCTGAGGCAGGAGAATCACTTGAACCCGGGAGGTGGAGGTTGTGGTGAGCCGAGATCACACCATTGCACTCCAGCCTGGGCAACAAGAATGAAACTCCGTCTCAAAAAAATAAATAAATAAAATAAATAATAATAATAATGACAGTTTGTTCTTGAATCTGCAATTTGGGTGGGGCTTGGTGGGGACAAGTCATCTCTGGTCAACTCAGCAACAGCTGGGGTGGCTCAAAGACTGGAGGCTGGAATCATCTGAAAGCTCATTTACTCACCTTGCTGGTGGTTGACGCTGGCTGTTGGCTGAGCCCTAAGCTGTGGCTGTCAGCTAGAACACCTACCCATGACCCCTCCACATGGCCTGGGCTTCCTCACAACATGGTAGCTGGGTTGCAAGGCCAAGCATATCCAGAGAGAAGGAGCACCAGAGGAAAGCCATCTCGCCTTTATGGCCTTGTGTTGGAAGTCACCTAGTGTTGTTTCTGCCACATTCTATTCATCAAGGCAGCTCCTCCCAGTTCCAATAGACTGCAACTCATCATAAGAGGTGGAAAGATTCTGGAAGAGCTTATGGGACTGGAAATATTGCTGTAGCTATTTTTGGAAGTATACAATCTGCCATGCTGTTTCCTGCTGCCTGCTTCTTGACCCTCTGGAAATTAATGGGATCCAGTGTTCCCTAGGTCTGGTCTGTCTCTTAGTATCCTCTCCAATGTGTGCTTAATTTCTACTCCCCATCCCCTTTTGCTTAAGCCATCAAGAGTCACTTCCTTTTCCTTGTGACAAAGAATGCTGACCCATACAGCACTGACGTAGAGATGAGCCAGATGCGTCTAAGGAACAGAGTGAAGCCAGTGTGCCCGAAGTGTCCTGCAGCTTATCACCCTCTTCTTGACCTGGTCAGTTGCCCTGACCTTTAATCCCTAGACGGTAACCAAAGAAGGAGATTCAGAGGCCAATAACTTGACTCTGACCACTCCAATATCTTCTCATTGAAGTCATCTTTGTAGTTTCTTCAGGCCTAAAGGGATGTCCTTCAGAAAGATTCCTGGCCTCCTATTCCTTGGTCAGCCAAAGGAGGTTATGACTGTTTCTTATGTTGAAAGAAGCAAAGGAGACGAGTGGTGTAAGTGATGGTGTTTCTTGTATTGGAGTTCTCCAGAGAAACAAAACTAACAGCATATGTATATGGACAGAAGAGATTGATTACAAGGAACCGGCTCATGGAATTATGAAGGCTAACAAGTCCCAAGATCTGCAGTTGGCAAGCTGGAGACCCAGGAGAGCTGGTGGTGTAGCCTCACTCTGAATCTGAAAGCCTAAGAACCAGGAGAGTCAATGGTGTACTTTTAGTCGAAAGGCCAGCAGGCTTGAGATCCAGGAAGAGCCAACGTTTCAGTTCAAGTCTAAAGGCAGGGGAAAGCTGAGTTTGAAGGCAGTGAGGCAGGAGGAATTCCCTCTTACACAGAAGAAAGTCAGCCTATTGTCCCATTCAGGCCTTCAGTTGATTGGATTAGGCCCACCCACATCAGGGAGGGCAATCTGCTTTACTCAAAGTCTACCAATTTAAATGTTAATCTCATCCAAGAAACCCTCATAGAAGTGTCCAGAATAATGTTTGATGAAATGCCTGGGCACCCCATGGACCGGTCAAATTGACACATTATAACTGACCATCACAGTGCTGAATGAAGATGGCCATTGAATAGACCTTAGAAAGCAGTGGCAGTCTAAGTTGGCTATTGCTATTTGTAAAATTGGTTTGCATCAAACATAGGCATGGGAGGCAGGGAGTTAATATTGTCTAATAACAACAATATTTAGTGAGAGCTTATCATGTGCCAATTAGATAGATAGTATTGTTATTTCTATTTTACAGAGAAGGAAGCTGAGTCCCTGAGATGTTGAGTAGCTTCTCATAGATTAATAAGCTGGTAATGGCAAAGCAGACAGTGAATTCAGGCAGTCTAGCTCCAGAGCCCATGTGCACAACCACATAAAGGACATTTCTTTTCTTTGCCTGGGACATTTCCCCAATGTCTTTCTGGAATGAGAGAAGGGCAGTTCGGTGAACATGCCATACAGTGTATGTTTATGCATGTATGTGCATGTGTGTTGCTGGTATTATAGCAACTGTTTGACACTTGCACACTATGTAACACTGACTTTATTTCTTCCCTCTTTCAAAGGCATTTGCATTTTTAGAGAAGTATCTGGAGAAGGCAATACTTAATACAGATTACAGGATTAAGTATTACTGTCTTGGGGGAATTTAAAGTATTAGCAGGGGAACTTATTTGGATTACAGGACTCCCCAATAATCTCTCAAATTTTAGGATGCCTCCAGAACTGGATGAGGTTCCAGAATCCTGTCTCACTAGACCAGGTCAAGTGACACAGCCCAGCCTAGAAATTTGCCCCTCTTTACTCCCCCTTCTCTCCAGAACTGTCATCAACCAAGATGCCAACAGGGAATGGGTTGAGCTCCTCAGCTGTGTGAACCCAGGGAGGTTATGCTTAGGGGAGACTGAGGCCTTTTTAATCTCCAGACAAGGGCTAAACCCCATTTCCATAACCTCAGAGCTGACTTGGATAGATGAGAGGGTGGTATGGTGGTGCACTTGCATTTACATTTCTTCTTCTTTGTTTTTTGCTTTTTTTTTATTTTTATTTTTTTTTTTGAGACAGGGTCTCACTCTGTTGCCCAGGTAGGGAGTGCAGTCACGTGATCTCAGCTTACTGCAACTTCCACCGCCTGGGTTCAAGTGATTCTCCCATCTCAGCCTTCTGAGTAACTGGGACTATAGGCATGCGCTACCACGCCCAGCTAATTTTTTTATTTTTTGGTAGAGATGGGTTTTCACCATGTTGGCCAGGCTGGTCTCAAACTCATGACCTCAAGTGATCCGCCCCCCTCAGCCTCTCAAAGTGCTGGGATTACAGGCGTGAGCCACTGCGCCCGGCCAGCACTTAACATTTCTTGAGTACCCAGAGGCAGGAAGTGGGAGTGGTGATTGGGAATGAGGAAAAGATGTTCGTTATTATTACTTCCATTTGGCAATGTACTGGAGCTTCCAGTGAAATAAAGTAAGAAACAGAAATTAAAAGGGTAAGGATTGAAAAAGAACAACTAAAATTGTCTTTATTCACCGTCGATATGATTATGTACAATTATAGAAAAATCCAAAAGTATCTAAGGATAGTTAGTAGGATTAATAAGTGAATTTAGTAAAATTACTGGATATAAGGTTAATATAAAAGAGTAATCATATTTCTATATACCAGCAACAAAAAGTTTTTTAAATAAATTTAAAAGATACCATTACAACAGCATCAAAAGTCATGAAATACTTGGAAAAAAGAATATAACAAAAGATGTGTAAGGCCTCTACCCAGAAAACGATAAAATATTAATGAGAAAAATGAAAGATCTATATAGTTGAAGAAATATATCAGGTTCATGAATTGGAAGACTACAAATTGATCTATGGGTGCAGTGAAATTGCAATAAAAATTACTATCCATCCATCTATCCTAAAATGTATATGGAAATGCAAAAACCCAAAAGTAGCCAAGAGTATTTTAAAGAAGAACAAAATGAGAAGACTTCCCCTACTAGATATCAAGGTTCATTATAAAGCTATATTGATTAATATGATGAGGTGTGCCAGGAGGAAGATAAGGCCAATGGAACAAAATGGAGGCCAGAAATAGACCCATGGATGGATATTTGATTTATAATAAATATATAATTAAGATTTTTTAAATGAATGATGTTGGGTCAGTTGAATATCCACAGAAAAAATTAAAATCCGGCTGGGCACAGTGGCTCACGCCTGTAATCCCAGCACTTTGGGAGGCCAAGGTGGACAAATCACCTGGGGCAAGGAGTTCGAGACCAGCCTGGCCAACGTGGTGAAACCCCGTCTCTACAAAAATACAAAAATTAGCAGGCATGATGGCAGGTGCTCGTAATCCCAGCTGGGGAGGCTGAGGCAGGAGAATCGCTTGAACCCTAGAGGCAGAGGTTACAGTGAGCAGAGATTGCGCCACTACACTCCAGCCTAGGTGACAGAGCAAGACTCCGTCTCAAAAAAAAAAGAAAGAAAAAAATTAAAATCCAAACCGTACCTGTGAAGAAAAACGTGACTCCATCTTGGATGCTAATACACCATGTTGACTTCTGATTAACCCCAGTCCCATGAATGCCTCCTGATTCCTATTTTATTTACTGTCCTTAGTGTGAGAACATGTACTCACTATAAATCCTGGCTTTAAATCAAAGCAACTTTGATATTGTCATACAAATTATAGGCTATGACACACACAGCATTCTTTCCTGTTCCACAGGGTTGCCTTTCATTGTCTTTATGGATCACATACACTCTTTCCCTATGGTATATAAGCTCTGATTTGCCTTTCATTGTCTTTACGGAACACATACACTCTTTCCCTATGGTATATAAGCTCTGATTTGCCTTTCATTGTCTTTACGGAACACATACACTCTTTCCCTATGGTATATAAGCTCTGATTTGCCTTTCATTGTCTTTACGGAACACATACACTCTTTCCCTATGGTATATAAGCTCTGATTTGCCTTTCATCGTCTTTACGGAACACATACACTCTTTCCCTATGGTATATAAGCTCTGATTTGCCTTTCATTGTCTTTACGGAACACATACACTCTTTCCCTATGGTATATAAGCTCTGATTTGCCTTTCATTGTCTTTACGGATCACATACACTCTTTCCCTATGGTATATAAGCTCTGATTTGCCTTTCATTGTCTTTACGGAACACATACACTCTTTCCCTATGGTATATAAGCTCTGATTTGCCTTTCATTGTCTTTACGGATCACATACACTCTTTCCCTATGGTATATAAGCTCTGATTTGCCTTTCATTGTCTTTACAGATCACATACACTCTTTCTCTATGGTATATAAGCTCTGATTTGCCTTTCATTGTCTTTACGGAACACATACACTCTTTCCCTATGGTATATAAGCTCTGATTTGCCTTTCATTGTCTTTACGGATCACATACACTCTTTCCCTATGGTATATAAGCTCTGATTTGCCTTTCATTGTCTTTACGGAACACATACACTCTTTCCCTATGGTATATAAGCTCTGATTTGCCTTTCATTGTCTTTACGGAACACATACACTCTTTCCCTATGGTATATAAGCTCTGATTTGCCTTTCATTGTCTTTACGGAACACATACACTCTTTCCCTATGGTATATAAGCTCTGATTTTAGGGAGTAACAGTTGGGAAATCTACCTGTCTCGCTGCCACCTAAGACTAGGCTTCTGTACATGAGTTCTCTAATAAACCATCCCTTACTCACCAACGAGATTTGTCTGCCTCATTCTTTGGTTTATTGGCTTCTTTTGCATTCGTGGGTCACTTTGCATATCCAGCCCTTTCACAGAACAATCGGGGGTCACTTTACCTATACGGTCCTTTCATGGAACACTACCCCACAGCATTCACAAAAATAAATTCCAGGTGGATGGCAAATCTAACTGTGAAGGGTAAGACAATAAAGATAACATAAAAAAAAAAAAAACTACTACCTTAGAATAGGAAAGATTTATTAAATGATGCACACAAAAAAGCATTAACCATAAAGGAAAACATTAATAAATTGAACTACATTAAAATTTAAGACATTGTGTTAATCAAAAAACACCACTAAGAAAGTAAAAAGGCAAACTATAAAAAGAAAGAAAATATATGTGACACATAAAATGGATGGAAGTTTATATCCAATAGACGTCTATAAAGAACACACAGCTCAATTAAAAATGGGTTAGACACTTAAAAATGCACTGTGAACAAAATTTCTTAGAAAAGGAATTTGGAGGAAAGATACTTATTCCAGTGAAAAGTTTGCAAACTGGGAAGACACACCCTGCATGTAAAATGAAGATGCTTTCCAGAGAACAAAGGGAAAGCCCAGGTTTTATAGCAAAACTTCCCACCCCAGTTCCCAATTAGGTCCATTTATGCAAATGAAGGATTCAAACTTGCTTTGTTCTGATTAGTCAATACAGTTGAGCCCTGATTGGTCAAGGCAGATGACCTCTGATTGGTTGGTTCAGGTGAGAGCTGTAAGTCCCAAAGTTAAAAAAGTGTGAGCATTCTGGGAATGCAGAGTACACGTATAACCTCTAGTCAGCAAATGGCTGCTTGGCTGTATTTTATATTTTATTTTATTTATTTTATTTTATTTTATTTTATTTTATTTTATTTTATTTATTTTGAGATGGAATCTCACTCCGTTGCCCAGGCTGGAGTGCAGTGGTGCAGTCTCAGCTCACTGCAACCTCTGCCGCCTGGGTTGAAGCGATTCTGCCGCCTGGGTTCAAGCAATTCTCCTGCCTCAGCCTCCCCAGTAGCTGGGATTACAGGTGCCTGCCACTGCGCCCAGAAAATAGCGGGAAAGGGGGACATCAAAATGTCCACATTCCCAGGATGTCATCAGGAATGGCAGAGTACTAACCTCCAAATTCCACTCCTCCATTAAAGCAATAAGAACCTTGACAAAAATTGTCAAAAACAACATGTTCAGAACTCTGTAAATTAACCAAAGGCTTCCAACAATCTGAGGATTGCTTAATCAATTTAAAAAAAATGAATATTAGTTAGAATGGTAAGAACTTTGTAGTGGGTTTTTTCTTGTTTGTTTGTTTGTTTTCTGGGAGGGAGTCTTACTCTGTCACCCAGGCTGGAGTGCAGTGGCCCAATCTCAGCTCACTGCAACCTCCACCTCCTGGGCTCAAGAGATCCTCCCACCAGCCTTTTGGGAAGCTGGTACTACAGGCACATGCCATCACGCCCAGCTAACTTTTGTACTTTTTGTAGAGACAGGGTACCACCATGTTGCCCAGGGTGGTCTCAAACTCCTGGGCTCAAGAGATCCACCTGCCTCAGCCTCCCAATGTGCTGGGATTACAGGTATGGGCCTCCCTGCTCGGCCTCTTTGTAGTGTTTTAACTTCCCATCTCCTTGGTTGTCTTGAAAACCAACATCCCTGCAATTATAGTGAAAATCAGTAGCTTGGCAGACACTGGAAAGGGAAGAACAGGTTTTGAGCTCCTCCAAAACATCATTCTCAGTGAATGATTATTATTTGACCTCTCTGGTGGTTCCCTAAAATCTTCACTTGTAGGGTTTCTTTTTATTTGAGCTGACTCAGAGCTTGCTCAGTACAAATAGACTCTTTCCCCTAGGAGTATGTTGAAAACAAGCAGTGGAAATTGTTTAACATCAAAACTACCTAAAGTTGGGGCATCAAAGCTACCTAAAATAGGGTAAACAAAAAGCTGACCAAAAATATTAAAAGATGAGAAATGAGATGTCCACAGGGGACTTTAAAAAGCTCCAACATACATCTGGAAATCTAGGAGGCCATTTGTATGCATAGGACTGTACACCTGCCCAGGGCTTCCTAAGTTATTCCTATACACCTGCCTAGGAATAACTTAAGATGACCTAAATTTTCACCTCTGGCTGACCACAGGTGCTACACAAGAAGGAAGTAGAGGATAAGGAATAGCTGTAAACTTCCTGCCTGAGAATTGAAGGTATGTCCTAACATACACAAGGAGCTCCTCATCAAAGGCTGGGGAGCTTATTGGTTCAAGACATTTAAGGGAATCTGTGCTCAATAATTAGCTGACTACTAAGCTAATTGAGCAGAGAGTCCAGTGGCAATACACAACTTTAAAGAATTAATACAAGAAAGTCACTGAATGAACAACAAAAATAACAACAGGCCCTTGGAGAGCAGTGAACTCTGGCTTCCAGAGTTGCCACATTATTTTCAATGTCCAGTTTTCAAAAAATATACGAGACATACAGTGAACTAAGAAAATATAGCCTATACCCAAGAAAATTTTAAAAACTCAATGATAACTGTTCCTGAGGAAGCCCAGATATAGGATTTACTAGACAGTTTAAATAGCTGTTTTAAATATGTTCAAAGAACTAAAAAAAAAGCTATGTGTAAAAAAATGTTTTTAAGTATAAGGAAATGGCTCACCAAATAAAGCATATCAATAATGGATAGAAACCATACCAAAGAACTAAACAGAACTTCTGGAGTTGAAAACTATAATAAATAAAATAAAAATTTTAATAGAGGGGCTCAAGAACAGATACGAGCTGACAGAAGAAAGAATAAGCAAACTTGAAAACAGATTAATTTGAGGTTAGAGACCAGCAGAACTTGTTTTCTAGTCACAACCCTGCTGAACAAAATAGTATCTGATTCAGATAGGATGAAGTAAAGAAACTGGCTGAAACCAGCAGATGGTGACAAAAGTAATCCTTAGTTGCCCTCGTTGCTCATTAGCATAAATCACTTCCACCAGTGCCATGACAGTTTACAAATGCCATGGCAACGACGCAGAAGTTACTGCCCCTTTCCATGGCAACAATGCAGAAGTTACCACTCCTTTCCTACAAAGTTCTAAGTAGCCCACACCCTCAATTTGCATCAACCTGCCCCTTAATTTGCATGTAATTGTAAGTGGGTAAAATACAGTTGCCAACACCTTGCCGACTCTGGGTGCACTGCCTATGAGTTAGCCCTGCTCCACAAGGAGCAGCACTATTCAATAAAAGATTGCCATCTGGCAGGGCGCAGTGGCTCATGCCTGTAATCCCAGCACTTTGGGAGGCCGAGGCGGGCAGATCACCTGAGGTTGGGAGTTCCAGACCAGCCTGACCAACATGAAGAAACCCCGTCTCGACTAAAAATACGAAATTAGCTGGGCGTGGTGGCGCATGCCTGTAATCCAAGCTACTCAAGAGGCTGAGGCAGGAGAATCACTTGAACCCAGGAGGTGGAGGTTGCAGTGAGCCGAGATCGCGCCATTGCACTCCAGCCTGGGAAACAAGAGAAAACACTGTCTCAAAAAAAAAGAGTCTAGAAAAAGAAGAGCAAATTAAACTCAAAGGAAGCATAAGAAAGGAAATAATCATGAAAATCAACAAAATAAGAAACAGAAAAACAGGCTGAGTGAGGTGGCTCATGCCTATAATCCCAGCACTTTGGGAGGCCGAGGCAAGCAGATAACTTGAGGTCAAGGGTTCGAGACCAGCCTGGCCAACATGGTGAAACTATGTTTCCACAAAAAACGCAGAAATTAGCCGGGCATTGTGGTGGGCGCCTGTAATGCCAGCTACTTGGGAGGCTGAGGAAGGAGAATTACTTGAACTCAAGAGGCGGAGGTTGCAGCAAGCAGAGATCGCACCACTGCACTGCAGCCTCGGTGGCAGAGTAAGTGAGACTCTGTCTCAAAAAAAAAAAAAAAGAAAGAAAGAAAGAAAGAAACAGAAAAACAATAGAGAAAATTAATGAAATGAAACAAAGAGTTATTTTTTGAAAAGATCAATAAAGTTGATAAACTTCTAGCAAGACTGATCCCCCAAAATTGAGAGAACACATAAGTTACCAATATCAGGAATGAAACAGGATATCGCCATAGACCCTGAAGACATCAAAATAATAAAAAGAGAAAATTCTACAACTTAAAAGAAATGGACCAATTTCTTGAAAAATATGCTATTGCAAGTCACTCAATATGAAATAGATCATTAAAATAGCCCTATTATTATTAAGGTTTTAATTTGTAATTTTCTAACTCTCAAAAAAACCCTCCAGGACCAGATTATTTCATTAGAGAATTCTACCAAATATTAAAGAAAAATTAACACCAATTCTACACAATCCCCTCCAGAAAAGAGAGGGGGGTGGCATTCCCACCCCATTTTATGAAGTTAATATTACCCTTATACCAAAGCCAGTCAAAGACAGCACAAAAAAGAAAACTATAAACCAATAACCCTCACTGATATAGATGCAAAAGTCCTTAACAAAATGAAGGAATAGAAGCTGAGGGTAAAGTAATGAATAAAGATTCCAATATTCTGTTAACACATCAAAAGAGGCTCAGAGCAAGAGGTGACAGTAAAAAACAATCTAATTAAGAAAATGGCCAGGCCCATTGGCTCACACTTGTAATCCTAGCACTTTGGGAGGCTGAGGCAGGCGAATCGCTTGAGGTCAGGAGTTCAAGACCAGCCTGGCTAACATGGTGAAACCCTGTCTCTACTAAAAATACAAAAATTCACTGGAAATCTCTTGAACCCGGAGGCAGAGGTTGCAGTGAGCCGAGATCGCACCACTGCACTTCAGCCTGGGCAACAGAGCGAGACTCCATCTCAGAAAAAAAAGAAAAGAAAAGAAAAAGAAAAAGAAAATGGCCAAAAGACATAAACTTTTCACTGAATAGAATGTGCAGATGGCAAATAAGCCATCTGCCATGAAAAGATGTTCAATATTATTAGTCATTAGGAAAATGCAAATTAAAACCACAATGAAATGTCTCTATATAAGAACAGAATGGCAAAAAAAAAAAAAAAATTGTGACAACACCTTCCTTCCTGGCAAGAATGCAAAGAAACTTGGTTATTCATCTATTGCTGATGTAAATGTAAAATGTTATAGCCACTCTGAAAACGAGTTTGGCATTTTCTTAAAACAACTAAACCTGCAACTAACATATAACCCAGCAATTGCACTCCTGTTCATTCATCCCAGGGAAATGAAATTTGTGTTCCCACAAAAACCTGTACATGAATGTTTGTAGCAGCCTTATTCACAATAGCAATAAATGAAACAACTTGGATGTCATTCAACCTGTGAGTAGTTAACCTGTGGTACATCCATACCACAGAATACTACTCAGTGATAAAAAGGAATAAATTATTGGCACTTGCAACATCTGGAGGAACTTCCATAGAAGTATGCTGAGTGAAAAAAGTCAATCCTAAAAGGTTACATACTGTATGATTCCATTTATATGACATTCTTGAAACAACAAAATTATAGATCTAAAGAAGAGATTAGTGGTTGCCTGAGGTTAAGGAGGGTGTGGGAGTGAGAATGAGTGGGCGGGGTTATAAAAAGACAACACAATCACACAAAGAACTTTGTTATGTTGCAAATGTTCTCTATCTTGACTGTATCAATGTCAATATCCTGGATGTGATATATCCTGGTTGTGTTGATTTGCTATAGTTTTGCAAGATGTTACCATTGGGACAAATTGGGTAATATATAAGTATGTCTGTCTATTGTTTCTTGCAAAGCCATGTGAATTGATAGTTACCTCAAAATAAAAAGTTTAATTAAAAAAAATTACAGGCCAGGTGCAGTGGCTCACACCTATAATCCCAACATTTTGGGAGTCCAAGGCAGGAGGATCACTTGAGCTCAGGAGTTCAAGACTAGCCTGGCCAACATAGCAAGACCCCATCTCTACGAAAAAAATGTTCAACTTGAGGCAGCTGATGGAAAAATATAAATATAACAAAATTAATTGAGATTTGTTGTATTGCCTAGCACATGTGTATTCTTGAGAATGTTCAATGGGTGCTCGAGAAGAGTGTATTCTACTGTTGCTGGGAGTTGGGGGATGTCCATAGATTTGTTAAGCCAACATATTTATAATAGCTGCTGTGAACCCTGTGTCTGCTAAGTCTAACATCTGGGTGCCCTCAGAGATTTTGTGTATTGACTGCTTTTTTCTATATATGAGTCATACTTTCCTGGTGTGCGTGTGCATGTGTGTGTGTGTGTGTGTGTGTGAGAGAGAGAGAGAGAGAGAGAAGAGAGGGGGTTTCATGCCTCTTAATTTTTTGTGGAAGACTGGACATGTTACGTAATATATTGTTGCAACTCTGAATTCTGATTTCCCCAGGAGGGGTGGTTGTTACTGCTGTTATTTGGCTTTTTGCTTCCTGGATTTGGCTGGATTAATTCTGTGGAACCTATTTCCCTAGCCCTGGGTGAGGGCTGATGTCTCTGTGGGTTGTTTTTTTTGTTTGTTTGTTTTTAATTCTTGTTTTTATTATTGTCTGACTTCCTAGAAGTCACCCCCGAATCAGCATATGATTAGTCAGAGGTTGTGCTTGTGATTAAGCACAAGGGGACTTGAGCACATAAGCCTTCCATCCTTTGGTAGATTTTCTTAAATTAATGGTCCTCGATTTGTTGTGTGTAATTTAATAAATCCAAAATGGAATTCCTTGTCCCCTTTCACGGGGGAATTCTTGCCCCCTTTCACTGTCAAAGAAAACTCTATCATTTTAGCTTTTTAGGTCCAAACCCTTGAATTATTCTTTATCCCTGTTTTTCTCCCTCACCTCATTAAATCCAACTTCAAATCCTGCCAGTTTGACCTTCAAGAGGTACCCAGAATTCATCTGTCTCTCAACACCACCAACAACCACAGCCTGATCCAAGCCCCCATCATCTGTTGCTTGCAATATGACCGTAGCCTCCTCACTGGTCTCACCGCTTCTGCTCCTACCTCACTTTCTGTCCCTTCTCCTCCTTTTAAGCAGCCACGGGGAGCTTCTGAAAAAATCTAAGTCACATCATATCATTCCTTTGCTCAAATCCCCTCCATGGATGACCCCTCTCACTCAGTGAAAACAAATGTCCTCCAGGAACCCTGGATCCTCTCTGACTTCATCTCCTACCCTTTATTCTCTTGCTCCTTTAACGCCAGAGTGACTGTATCAATCAGGGTCTACTAAGATAGAAACCATACAGTAATTTGTGGGAGGGAAATTTAATATAGAGAATTATTTACCGTAACAGGGAGTTGGAGGAATTGGAAGGTGTTGAGGTGAAAATAAAAATACAGAGATGAATCTCTACACTTAAAACATTTTATTTGGAAAGCAAGAATTGCAACTCAGGACACACACATAGACCAGGATGTCTTCAGTATGTCCAAAGAACAAAGAGAAGGTTGGGAGTTTAACTGGAAAAAGTAACGTTATGTACCGTTTTGAAAGAAAGTTCATTGGCATTAGAGATTTGGGAGCTGGCAAGCTCTGACTGGTGAGTGGCAGCTGTGGGTAAAACCAGTCTTAGAGGCGTGGCACGTTATTTCAGCAGCTTCTAGGTAACACTGGTCTTAGGGTTACAATAGGACATTTAGCAGCTGGGTGTGTGGAAAATTTAATTCTTGGAGTAGGTGCTATGTTCCCAGAGTGATTTTTTCCCCTGGCCCCTCAACTCTGATTTAGTTGGCTATGACGAGAATGGCCTCAATTTGTATAGTCAATTTTCACAGGGGTGAGCTAGTAAGAAATAAAGAGAATGCCAAAGGATGCTGGAATTGCAGAATTAAGGGACATCTACTATCCCTAGAGTGCCCAAGGAAGAGCACACTCCCGTCACCCCAACAAGGTTGAGGGCCAGGCTTCGTTGGACAGCGCATGCTGTGGTTCAGTGTTCAGAGAAGTCACTGTGGTGCCTCACTGGTGGAACTTGCTGGAAATACGCCCAATGGGATACCAGGGAAAGCCATTCATGGTGAGCCATCTCCCTAGAGGCACTCTGTTACAAAATCATCCCAGGAGGTGCCAAAAGCAGCTGCTGGTTGCTGGGTGCTGATGGCCACCATGCATTGTAAAAGCCATCTTCCTTACAGAAGCCTGGTGCTGGAGAAATCACTGAGGCTGTGAGCCAGGCCCTAGGGAAACAGGGCAGGCTGCAGAACTGCTAAGACCTGGAACTCCAGACTCCAGAACCTGGAAAGCAAGCCCGTCTTCCTCCACTGTCTCTCCAGCACCCTCTACCGGCCAACCTTAACATTGTGCCAGCTGACAAAAACTATTAAGAGTCTATTCTACAGAGCAGGCCCTGAAGGGTGGATTTGGAGCTGAGATGCAATAAATTGGTAACTGGCATTGTGACCTTCTTGATATTCTTTGAAAAATAAAGCTAATACCCACCTCAATGCCTTTGCCATTGCTCTACCCTCTACCTGGAATTCTTTTTCTCAATTCCCAACCATATCTGCGTGGCTTTTTCCCTTATTTCCTACAGGTTTCTGCCCAAGTTGCTCTTGATCACTAGAGCCTTTCCTGACCACCCTAATGAAATAGATCCGTGTTGACAGGACTCTCCCTGTTTACTTTTCTCCATAGCAATTATTACCATTTGACATCGTTTATTTACATGTTTATTCTTTACTGTCCATCTCCCCTTTCTAGAATGTAAACTATCAAGGACAGGGAATTCTTCTATTTTGTTCCCTCTTGTACCCAGGAGAGTTGAACAGAACAGTACCTAGCACATAGTACGCATTTTAATATGCCTTGGATTAATGAGTGAATTATAGTAAACTGGAAGCATACAGGAGGAGAAGGGAAAACCCCAACCATAGTCTCATCACCTAGACACTACCACAGCTAACAAGACGGCAACTTTTCCTGTACGTTTTTCTCCATTGAGGAATTTTGCTTTTTTTTTTTTTTTTTAAGACTAGTCAAGATCAGTAGTGAGAAGGGGGGAAAAGTAGACCAAAGAATTCAATCTTTGACTGTGAACAATCAACGGAGATATATCACTACCTTCAGACTAGTCTATTTTTGCTTTCTTTTGTTTTTTAATTTTTATAGGGGCTTAACATATATATTAAAATGTATTTATATCAAAAATGTGCAGCTCACTGAATTTTTTCCACAAACTGAACCCACCCAGGGAACCAGCCCTCAGATCAAGAAACAGAACATTATCAGCACCCTGGAAGCTCCCCTTTGTGTCCCTTCCAGGGTAACCATTATCCTGAACTGTAGAAGCAAAGATGAGTTTTTGTACTTTATATGAGTGGAGTGACACAGTACGCGCGCTTTTGTGTTTGGCCTTTGGCTTCTGTCCTTGACATTTTGTATAGTATATTCATTCATACCGCTGTGTGTTATTGTGGATCTTTTGTGCTCTTTGATGTGTAATATTCCATTTTTGGAAACACTATAATTTGTCCATTATACAATGCTGTTTGGGCAGTTCCCAGTTTGGAGCTATTATGAATAGAGTTGCTACACATATTCTTGTACCTGTTTTTTCGTGAACACATGTCAGTATTTCTGTTGGGTATGTATGTAGGAATGGAATTGCTGAATCACAGGATATGCATATGTTCAGCTTTACCAACCAATCCTTCCCCCAAGGATATAATCTTTCCTTCCTGTCAACTAGTATTTGCTGACATAACCTACATGAAGCATTGTGTGTGGGCTTCAATACAAGGCATCACTCCCTCAAACCATTTTGGACCTGCTAGGGAGCCTGCCCTGCTCTCCCCAGAAAGCCTCATGATGTCAGTCTTTTCATGCCTCTTGGTGCATGTGTAGAATCCTCCGTGGCAGATGACCAACCACAGTTGGATGGAGAGGGAGGGTCAATGCCACCCTCCAGTGAGGCAACTACAAGACACACCCCCATTCTATAGCTGAGGAAACTGGAGCTCAGAAAAGTTATTTATCATTCATTCATTCATTCATTCATTCATTCAACAATATGTATTGTGCGCACAGAGCAGTGGGAACAACATAGACAAATTCCCTGCCCTCGTTAGAGTGGGGGAAGTAGTTCACAGAAAAATACTGCTTTTTAACTCCATAAAAACATAATTAGCCTCCTTTATAACTAAACATATACAATTAAAACAAGGAGATATTTTTTATCAGATTGAACAAGATCTAGCAAAATAACAATACACTGTATTGGCAAGTATGTTGGGGACAGGCATCGGTGTACACTCTTATTAATAGCATAGAATAATACAACTAGAGGGCTATCTGTTCGGCATATCTACCAATACTTATTGTATTTTATTTATTTATTTAGAGATGGACTCTCCCGCTGCTCTGTCACCCAGGCTGGAGTGCAGTGGCACAATCTCAGTTCACTGCAACCTCCGCCTCCTGGGTTCAAGTGATTCTCCTGCCTCAGCCTCCCGAGTAGTTGAGATTACAGGCGTGTGCCACCATGCCCGGCTAATTTTTGTGTTTTTAGTAGAGATGGGGTTTTGCCATTCTGGCCAGGCTGGTCTCGACCTCAAGTCGTCCGCCCGCCTCAGCCTCCCCAAGTGCTGGGATTACAGGAGTGAGCCACTGCGCCCGACCCCCTGCCAAATACTTCAGATGTCACCCAGGCCCCCTCGCTCCTCAGAATTCTACTTTTACGAATTTAAATACAGAGGTATGGCTACACGGCTAAAGAGGGACGGGGCCTGACACTTCCTTCTCTCTTTAAATAAAATGTATTTTATTTCTATATAGGTCTTAGTAGAAAATGGGGACAATACAGAAAATGAGAAAAAAATGTAAGTCACGATCCCAGCACCCATGCTAAGGCTGAGCCCACGCCTTTGCGGCTCCCTTCCTCCCTGTAAAGCAATGCTGCCCCCGTGTGGATTTGATGGGGTTTTTTTTAAAAACACACATTATTTCACACTTTTTTTAAATGCAATTAATTTTAACTAGGTAAGGCGCTTAATGGTTCAATATTTATTTATTTATTTATTTTGAGATGGAATTTCGTGGTCTCGGCTCACTGCAACCTCCGCCTCCCGGGTTCAAGCTATTCTCCTGCCTCAGCCTCCCAAGTAGCTGGGATTACACGCATGCGCCACCACGACCGGCTAATTTTGTATTTTTAGTAGAGACGGGGTTTCTCCATGTTGGTTAGGCTGGTCTCGAACTCCCGACCTCAGGTGATCCGCCCGCCTCGGCCTCCCAAAGTGCTGGGATTACAGGCGTGAGCCACCTGCGCCAGGCTTAATATTTAAAAGGTTCTAAATGGTATTCAGTGAAAATTCTCCCTTCCTTTTCTACTCCTCTCAAACCAGGTTCCTTTCCCCACAGGCAACCAAACTGGCCAATTCGTTATATACAGACTTCCAGAGATAGGTCATGCACACGCCTCGTTCAATAAATGACAGTTTCCTTCTTTCCAGCCCCTGCCTTTGAATCATGATTGTTGCTCCTAAAAACTTAGAAACGCCAAATAAAAAATACTTTTACGCAAATTATCCAGCATTGCCTGATTTACAGTTACGAAAAATCAAAAACAATATGAATTCCCAAAATAAGAGCAATGCCCAAGTTAGATTACACCCACTAGTAATCATTAAGACTTGTGTAACAACATGAAAAATGTCTATCAGAGGTTTGTTTTTTTTTTTAAAGACAATATACAAAAGAGGACATAGGTAATTTAAAAGTGAAAACAAGCCTGGGCAATAAAGTGAGACCCTGTGTCTACCAAAAAAAAAAGAAAAGAAAAGAAAAGAGAAAGGAAAGAAAAGGAAAGGGAAGGGAAGGGAAGAGAGAAAAGAAGAGGAGGGGAGGAAGGGAAGGGGAGAGGAGAGACAGAGGAAAGAAAAGGAAAGGGGAAAGGAAGGAAGGATGGAAGGAAGGAGTCGGGGAGGGAGTTAGGAAGGATTAGCTGGGCATTGGTGGAGTGTGCCTGTAGTCCCAGCTACTCTGGAGGCTGAGGCAGGAGAATGGCTTAAGCCCAAGAGTTCAAGGCTGCAATGAGCTAAGATTGCACCACTGCACTCCAGCCTGGGTGACAGAGTGACACTCTGTCTCTTAAAAAAAAAGTCAAAACTATTCCTTAAAAAGAATGTAACAATATAACAATGATGTACATTTTTCAGCTGTCAAACTAGAAAAGTGTGTTTCTCAATGAGAATCATTAATTCTGAGGAGCATGGTGTGAAAGGTGTAGTTGTGACCGATTTGTAACAGGGCAAACTGACTCAAGCTTTTATTATAGACTTTGACTCAGAAATTCCATTTTTAAGTATTTAAAAATAGAACAATCTTTGCAAAAATATGGTCATCACATTATTTGTTGGTGAAAAAAACTAAGCTAAATGTTCAACTACAGAGGATTGGTTAAGTAAATTGGTTAAGTGTTTCATTTAATGAGATACTAAAATCATAATGTTTGCAAAGATTGGGGATAGGTTTTTGATGTTTTGATGTTAAGAGAAATAGAGAGTTGACCATATAGTAAGATGATGAAACCCAACAAGTAGAGAAAAAGCTAGCATTGAATATTTGGGGGGCTGGGACACAGTATTTTATTTCTACAATCATTCTTTAATGAGCATGTTTAAGTATGTTTTTTAAAAAAACAGAATACATGAACTATGGAATAGCATGCCTGTGGGCCTGACCAAGCAGAATGCAATTTTTTTTTTTAAGACAGTCTTGCTCTGTCGCCCAGGCTGGAGTGCACTGACATGATCTCTGCTCACTGCAACACCCCCGCCCCAGGTTCAAGCGATTCTCGTGCCTCAGCCTTCTGAGTAGCTGGGATTACAGGTGCGTACCATCATGCCCGGCTAATATTTGTATTTTTAGTAGAGACAGGGTTTCACCATGTTGGCCAGGCTGGTCTCAAACTCCTGGCCTCAAGTGATCCACCCACCTCAGCCTCCCAAAGTGCTGAGATTACAGGCGTGGCCACCCACCGTTCCTCGCCAGAATACAAATTTAAGTTCAACAGCAAACCTAGTGCCTTTAATCTCTTACTTAGTCCTCGCAGCCACAGACCAATTTACTGACGTGAACTAAGGTTATAGACACTTACTATGAAAACTGGAATAGAGCTCATATAGGTGAGAGCACATTCAAATTCTCCATCCAGACTTCTTTCACCACCAGAGACTTGGGAGTTACCTTAACGATACAATGGTCAGAATACCCAGATGTCTGATTACAGACTTTTCCTTTTGTTCTTTCTCTTTGTCAGTGATTCTCAAAAGCCAGCGTGCCTAAGATTTTTCTATGAAGGGTTGTATACACAAAACCATATATGCTGTACTTCAAGAGAGTTTGAGTAGATTTTCAAGAGTAGTTTTGAGGATACAGAATTTTTACTGTGCTAACCATTAGCCAACGTGTGACTGCTTTTTTTTCCTTTGCGTGATTATCCTTATTATTTGCATAATAAAAATAAGAGTACTGGCCAGGCATGGTGGCTCACACCTGCAATCCCAGCATTTTGAGAGGCCAAGGCAGGCGGACCACCTGAGGTCAGGAGTTTGAGGCCAGCCTAGCCAACGTGGCGAAACCCTGTCTCTACTAAAAATACAAAAATTAGCCGGGCGTTGCGGTGCATGCCTGTAGTCCCAGCTATTCGGGAGGCTGAGGCAGGAAGCCGAGGTTGCAGTGAGCCGAGATCACACCACTGCACTCCAGCCTGGGTGACAGAGCAAGACTCTGTCTCAAAACAAGGGGGAAAAAAAAAAAAAAGACTACTGCCTTTTAGCTCAGGCTGGGAGTATAAAACCCTTTTGGATCACACCTGTCAGGGAAGTGGGAAGCTAGCTGCCTTTGCAGTTTGTGCTACTCAGGGTTCCTGTGACACTGAGCCAACCATTGGCTCTACCAAAAGCTGATGCCAAACTCACCTCCCTGATGTCCTTATTCTAATAAACCTGGACCAACTTCATCTTTACTCAGCCTTTTCCTCCACTGGGAATATCCTTTCCACAACAAAAAGCCTTAGTAAACTTTTTCTGTGAAGAAACTTTTTTTTTTGAGATGAAATTCACATAGCAACAATTAACCATTTTAACAATCACAACTCAGTAACTTGAGTGTATTCACAAGGCTGTAAAACCACCAGCTCTCGCCCTATAAAAGTATCCTATTCCCATTAGGTAGGCACTCCATTTCCTGCTGCTCCCACCCCTGGAAACCTCTAATCTGCTGTCTCTACAGATTTATCTATTACGGGTAGCAAATATCCATATAAAAGCAATTATATAATAGATGATCTTTTGTGTCTGGCTTTTTTCACACTACACAATGTTTTCTAGGTTTATCTACATGGTAACATGTATCAATATTTCTTTCTTTTCAGCTCTATTATATTCCATTGTATGTATTGTGAAAGTTGTCAGAACCAAAATGGAGTCACTTGTATGTCTTTTAAAAAACCCTGCCAAAGCCGAAAGGCTATGAAGGGAGGATTCTGATGCATAAATGATAAAAAAAAAAAAAAAAAAAAAAACTACTACAAAAGACTGTAAAAACACAACCTTGCACAAAGGCCACTGCAACCTTATATACATACAAAAATATTTCTGCAAGGACTTCTGCTTGTTCAACCTCAGACTGGTGCCACCAGGACTTGTTATTAATCCCTGGAGTTAGGGATAGTTATCCCAAGACAATTACATAATCCTTGTTTTTCCTTTTAATCTGTCTTCCTTTACCTCCCTGAATACGCATAGTATGGCACATGGACTCCCACTGCAATGCCCCATTCATGAATAGGTATCATTTTCTTTTACGGCCTCCGTTTATTTAGGTTGACAGTATATACCACAATTTGTTTATCCATTATATGTTGAATATTTTGGGTTGTTTCCACCTTTGGGCTGTTATGAATAATTCTGCTAAAACCAGTTGTATACAAGTTTCTGTGTATCAAACTACCTTTGCAAAAGTGACAGTAAGAGAAATCTGACATGGCTGACTCCATCTTGCTTCTGAACTCAACAGGCCTACGTCTTGGTAGAATTCAGGCCCCTCTCATCCTCTTCACTTGAGGGTCTTTCACTAGTTTTATAAGGGCAGTTTAGCTTTTGGGAAGAGCTCATCAAATCTTATTGTTGACGAGTTTTTATAGAGCTTTATCTCCAGCCACCTCTGCTCCAGGAGGCTGGTGGGTGGGAGTGAAAGTTCCAACCCTCTCATCACTTGGTCTTTCTGGTGGCTGGCCCCATCCTGAGGCTAGCTAGGGGTCCCACTCTAAGTCATGAACTCACGTATTATCCCATTACACAGGAAATTCCAAGTGTTTTTCAGTTGCTGTGATAAGAACCAGGAAAAAAGGCTAAATATATTTCATATTACCACAGATACATATATCTAGGAGTGGAATTGCCATATAGTAATTCTGTTCAGCTTTCAGGAACTGCCACTGTTTTCCATAGGGGCTACACCATTTTACGTTCTCACCAGCAATGCATGAGGGTTCCTGTTTCTCCACACCCTCACCAAGAGTTATTTTTTTCATAAATAAGCCATCCTCGTGGGTATGAACCGGCATCTCATTGTAGTTTTGATTTGCATTTCTTTAATAACCAATGATGTTGAACCAGTTTTCATGTGCTTTTTGGCCATTTGTGTATCTTCTTTGGAGAAATATCTGTTCAATTCCTCTCATTTTTGAAAAAGGTTATCTTTTTTATTAAGAATTTTTTATAGTTCAAATAGCAAACTACAGATATCAGACTATCATATCGTTTGCAAAAATATTCTCCCCTTCCATAAGTTTTTTTTTCATTCTTCACCATTCTTGGATGTACAAGTTTTTAATTTTGATGAAGTCCCATTTACATATTTTTTCTTCTGTTGCTTGTTTTCAATGTCCAATGCAATAATCCATTGCCAAATCCAAGGTGATGAGGACTTACTCATTTTCTTCTAGATCTAGCTCTTACAGATTGTTTACCAATTTTGAGTTAATGAGTGATAAATGAAGGCATATGAGGTAGAGTTCCAACTTCATTCTTTTACATGTGGTTATCCAGTTGTCCCAGCACCATCTGAAAAGACTACTCTTTTCCCAATAGATGGTTTTGGTACCACTGCAGAAAATCAATTGACCATTTATGTAAGGGTTTATTTCTGTACTCTCATCTATCCATTGTCTATCTTTATGCCAGATGCAGTGTTTATTACAATTTTGTAGGTTTTGTGAGACTTCTAATGTGATCAAGATTGTTTTGGCTATTTGGGGCCTTTTGTAGCTTCATATATATGAGGATTAGCTTCTCCATTTCTGCAATGACCACTGGAATTATTATAGGGATTACATTGAATGTTTGGAGACTATTATTTGTTACTTTAATAGTAAGTCTGGATCCATGAACATGTTGGCTTTCCTCATCTACTTAGTTTTCTTTCAGGATTTGTAGTTTTCACCTTGGTTTGATTGATTCCTGGGTATTCTGGTATTGCTTGCTTTGATTCTTAGGTATTCTTTTGGTTGCTATCCTAACTGGAATTCTCTTCCATTTCCTTTTCAGATTGTTTGTTGGTGGTGTATGGAATAGTTTTTATGTGATCTTGTACCCTAAAACGTTGCTGAATTCACTCATTAGCTCTAGTAGCTATCTAGTTGATGGGGTTTTCTATATACAGGATATCTTCTGCAGAGATAGTTTTACCTCTTCCTTTCCAATTCCAATTCTTCTTTTTCTTGCCTAATCGTTCTGGCTAGAACTTCCAGTACAATGTTGAAAGTGGCCAAAGTGGGAACCCTTGTCTTGTTCCTAATCATAAGGGTAAAACTTTCAGTCTTTCACTATTATGTTAGCTGTGTTTCATAAATCCCTTAATCTTGTTTAAAAATTGCCTTCTGAGCTGGGTGCAGTGACTCATGCCTGCACCCCGCCATCTCTTTAAAAAAAAAAAAAATTCCCTTCTACTCCTAATTTGCTGGGTGTATTTATCATCAAAGGGTGTTGAAATCATCTCAAATGTTTTTTCTGCATCTGTTGAGAAGATCCTATGGCTTTTTTCTTCCATTAATGTGGTAAGTACCACTGATTGCATTTACAATTATCTTCCCCCTACACAGTAACTTTACAACAGTGTTCACCTTATTTTTGTACCCTTAGAGCTTGATGCACTAAGTACTAGAGTGCTGCTCAGTGAACACAGGCTTTGGGTGGAAGAACTCATGAAGATACCACAATTCAAAAGTTACGTTAGGTTATATGTTACGTGTGTGACCCTGGCAGAAAGTTATGCCAAAATTGTTCCTCTCCCAGCAGAATTTTCATTTTTAGCATTTGCTTCATGGAGAAGCTATCTAGACAAGTGCCTTCCCAAGAGGATATTATGGGTACTGATTTCAACAAAACTGATCTTTGAATCTGATAAGTGAAAATGTTCAATTTTGTAAGTATCTTAGTGTATGAGGATGTACAGATGCAAATGGGTAGTAAAACATTTTATAGGGAAGAAGGTAAGATCAGGGTTAATTTTTTCCAAGGCAACCCTTCTTGACTCTATTAAGCACCCAATATATCAAAGATTTTTCTAAAAATAAAGATCCATAGGTGCAATTATAATGTTCTCTTAAGAGTTTATTATAAACCAGTTTCATAGGCCACAAGGAGATAAAAGGACTATGTACAGCCTTACGGGAAACAGGCAGGGAGCTGAGGAGGGCCAAGATGAGTCTAGGGCCTTGGTGGGCGCATTCCCGGGGGAGGGGGCCCTGTAAGGGAAACCAGACAATCCCATGAGACTCCACGAACAACAGCATAAGAAACAAACAGGTCTGTGGTAACGTGGCCCTGAGGAATCGAGCCCACGCCTCTGCGGAGCTACTTCCATACTCTGTGGCCAAGGGTCAAAGAAGGCCTGAAGTAAGAGTAAGAAGTTTAGTCAGTGCCTGATCTGCAACTTGAATCCCCAACCCTGCCCCAGCCTCCCACGCCCTGCAGTAATCGAGTGAGGAGAGGGGTATACATGGCATATGTGCTAACTAGGGACTACTCTGAGGCTGACTGGGTTCCTATGTCTATAAAAACCCATAGAGGAATAATCCAGACTAGAGAAACAGGGGTCACCAAGTTTGCCCATGGGTTATCTTATAGGGAAAGAACACTGGGCTTGGAGTCCAAACTCCCTGGGGGCCTATTTTCTCATCCATGTGGGGACTGATCTCAGAATTTCTCCAACTGAAGTTAAAGAGAAATCCATAATAGTACAGCAAAGCCCAGAGCCCCCTCTTAATTACTAGGCACTGTCAAACCAAAGAGCATAAGACAATCTCATAACTTCTGTTAGGGATCCTCAGAATGCATTATTTCATTGTGTCCTGAGGCCGCTGCCTTAGATATTGAGAAACACCCTGGGTGCATGGCTGCTCTAACTTTTCTAAGAGGGGAGGTAAGCCCAATTTAAGAAATGTTCCCTCTTCTCTTTCCTTTCTGGATTTCCCTAGATTTAAGGCTTGAAAGCCCATGGGATATGATCTAAATGCAATCTTCCCTCCATTTCCTATCCCACTAGGCTCTAGGGAAAGAAGCCAAAGTCACCACTGCAGGCACTTACCTCGCATCCCAGGGGGAGGAGGCCGCATTCCCGGAGGGGGCATGCCCATTGGAGTCCCTCTTCCAGGGGGGATCCCCATTGGGGGACCCATAGGAGGTCTCATACCAGGAGGTGGGCCCATCATGCCTGCAAGAGAAAAGCCCCAAGAATATAGCTCAAGTGTCTATCTTGAAAAGGTAGCAAAAAAACTACAAAGCTTTCCACCAAGTTCTGAGATAGATGGACCATTCCACCCTCTCAGCAGCTCCCAGAAAACTGACATTTGAGCCTAACACCCAGGGCTCCCAATGGCTCTTGTCCACCTAGTCTCATCAGTCAGCCACGCTGGATCTCAGAGTAATCCTGCTTAATTATACAAACTCATCATCAGCTTCAGTCAAGGTTATATCTCATCATTAATCCAGCTAAGGCATCTTCTATCAATTAGCACTGGTCTCCTTATGGGCTCCTCACCTGGAGGGGGTGCTCCTCGGCCCATAGGTGGGGGAGGACCCCCACGGCCAGGTGGGTACTGGGTTGGAGCCCCGGCAATACTGGCTGTGGCAGCAGCTGCAGCGGCTGCAACAGTACCTCTTCCTTGTGGGGTCATCACCTAAGAGGACATAAGAAGAAAGAGTTAGAAGAGTACAGTACAATGCAGCTTCCCACTCTCCTCCCCAACTTGGGGAAGGACAGTGGGAAATAACAGACACCAAATCCCTTAATGCTACAACTCTCAGCACCAGACTTCCCATCCAAAACCACATGTCGGGAAAGATCAAGCTTGAATGCCCAACTCCCATCTTCTAGACCTGAATGTAAGCATGTCCAATCCAAGTGAGAGAAGGCAACTGCATTTTCAAATATGACTCATGATTTCAAATGCTGTCATGGAAATATTTTCCTTAAATACAGTTGGCTAATTCGTACATCTCTTTAATAGCATCAACATAATTTACAATGGCAACTTATCCTTTTCACTTGCTTCTAGGGCCATGTATAAACCACAGTGAAACACTGATAGTCTGACAATCACAGGTTGGTCACTCTGGACCCTTTTAAAACTATGGACCCTCCCCTTTATCCTTTATTTTAGCCACCAGGAGGTGGTACCCTTTCCCCAACTCCTCACCTGTTGGGATGGCCCGCCAACCCCACGGACTGGCCCAGCAAGTCCTGCAGGAGCCTGGGGCATGGGAACCCCAGCTGGGATTCCTCTGCCAGCAGCCCTGCCGATCCCTGGGCCCCCGGCAGCTCCAGCAAGTGGAACTCGAGCAATACCAGTCTGAAAAATAAACAAATATGCTCTGATGCCCAGTGATCTGAAGATCAGAAGTATACTTTGGAATATCATTGCCAAGAGAGCCCCTCGAAATAGCTTATAAATACTATCGAAATAGCTTATAAATACTACCTCTCCATGTGTGCCAACACCATTCTTCCTCCATCCAAGACTATGAGTTATCCCTGAAGCAGGGTAGAACTTAAGAGTAAGTCTAGAGAAACATGCCACAACTCAACCACCTATATGCACTCCTGTGAAAGTTAAACCAAGAGCAAAGGGCCAGGGTTCCACTCAGGGTTCAGCAGGCAAGGCATTAAAGGGACATGAGATCCATTCCCAGCTGATTCTAATCCGCTAGGTGACAATGGACAAATAATCCCACAATCCCGGGCTGAGTTGCCTTATCTGCAAATGACATGGTTATGGTACAACTGGTTGTGATCACAAAGGTTTATGATGGGTTATGTTAGACCAGCCAATTCTACTGGAAGTAGGTACTAAGAGATTTGAATATGTACATGGACTTTGAACCAAGATATGCTAACATCCCTTGCAGACATTTTTAACTGGAAAAGGCAAAAACGTAAAAATCTCCAAAAAAGAAAATGATTAGGATAAACTACTCTGTACTCATTTGAGAAAATCTCAGTCATTAACTTGACTTTAAAAGTGTTGAGCAACTAGAAAAATGTTAACATTAAGTGAAAACACAGAACAACATAATATATGCCCACTATGTGTTAAGTACAAAAAAATCCAGATAATATATGTGGATTTTTAAAAAGTTAAAAGGATTATTCTCTTTTGATTAAAATAACGTCTTGGCAGGGCGTGGTGGCTCACATCTGTAATCCCCGCTACTCGGGAGGCTGAGGCAGGAGAATCACTTGAACCCGGGAGGCAGAGGTTGCAATAAGCCAAGATCGTGCCACTGCACTCCAGCCTGGCGACAGAGCGAGACTCCATCTAAAAATCTAAAAAAAAAAAAAAAAAAAACCCTTCAAATGAAAAAGGGAAAGGGAAAACAAATTTGACTAGGTCTCTAAAGCCTGCTCTATTTCTATGTGTAGCTTGGTGTTTACAGAATCAAGACTGTCTGAGATCAAATGTCAGTTTCACCACTTAGTGGCTGTGGCACCTTGGGCAAGTTACTAAGCCCTGGTTTATTCTATTTATAAGATGAGAATTTATCTCTAAAGAGACCTAAAGGATCAAATAAAATACTGAAGTGGTTGGCGCAAGGTAGATTCTCAGTAACTATGAACTGTAACTGTACAAAACAAAATACACACATTTCCTATTGTTTCGGAGTTACAACTTTTTAAGGTCTACCTAGGCTTTGTCGTCACATTAAGAACTGACCCAGATGGCTTCAGGTGCTTCCTCCACTGACTCACTATGTACATCAACTGAGAAACAGGTAGAGCTTTAAAGTCTGAGATACCCAAATTCTAGTTCCCCTTTTCCACTTCTTTCTTGCAGGGTAACCTCTTTTTTTTTTTTTTGTCTTTTTTTTTTTCTTCCTTTTTCTGGAGAATGGGGTCTCGCTATATTGCCCAGGCAGGTCTCGAACTCCTGGGCTCAAGCTATCCTCCCGCCTCTTGCCTCCCTGAGAGCTGGGATTACAGATGTGAGCCACCGCGCCCGGCCTCTTGCAGGGTAACCTCTTTAAGATTTCATTTATTATCTGAAAAAGGGGGCAAAATCCAGAGGATGCCTGTGAGAACTGCAATGAAACAGAATCTAACACAGAGCCTGGCTCACAGTAGGGCCTCCCCTCCTCCACAAGGCTTCCTGCTCTGACTTACATCTTTGGGAGGAGGTCCCTCTACTGTCATTGAGACCAGATTCTCCCCTCGCAGCAGCACCAGACCGAGGACTCGCTTCTCTTCCCTTTCTGCTTGTTTGGAGTTCTTTGGCCTAAAGAGAGGTTTAGAAGGAACAAAAAAAGTGTTAGAGGTGGGTAAAGTTCACCTGCCTAGTGGCCTCCAAGATTTGCTTATACTGCATCTCCTAACAAACAGTACACAAACTTTCCCAAGATAGCCCTCCTGGATAGTCTCTACAGGCTGAACACATAACCTCTTAGGTGGCTATCTACCTGTTTCCTACCATGCCAAGAGGACACACTGACCAAGAGATAGGACAAGGTCAACAAAGCCCAGCCCGGGCCCAAATGCTATTCCACAGCAACCGTGAAGGCCCTTCCCTCAGCCAAGTCTTCTTTCTTAGGACCCTATTCCCTCCCTTCAGCTTAAGGTCTTGCCAACATCAGGAGGCTGCCTAAACAATTCCAATCAAATGACTCCCACCCACCTCACTTACGTGCAGTGTCCTTCTAATATCAATTCAACCTCACAGGCCTATAATTCTGCCCCTCATCTTACATCAGAAATAGGAGAAGCCATAGAAGGAAAAGGTTAAGAGAAATTTCACATACACAGAAATTGAAATTTCATATCTGTTCCTCAAAAGCATAAAAACAGAAACCCCCAAAAAGCAACAACCAGAAAAAGATGAACAAAATATAAATGTGAAGTAGGAAAAATAACTGCAACAGGATAGGAAAGTGGGGAAAAAAGCTAAAGCTAGATCCTAAAAATAAAGGGGAAAAAATAGCCTGATTTAAAAAAAGAACTCAAAAGATTTTGTTTTGATATTTTACAGTATATTAACTGGTTGTCTGTGGATGGACAGTTTTTCCCTTTTTTGGCTCACATTTTCTTATTTTTTAAAATAATAACCATGTATTGTCCTTTCATAATTAGAAAAAAACCCTTCGGGGTATTTTAGTTTCTATTCATAGACTTCTTTGTATTTTCAAAAATATTTTCCAATAAACATTTTTTATAATCAGGAGGGAACTTTGGAGTAGCTCCACGCTCATCTGTTGGCCCCTCTCTAATACGTACCTGGCACCAAGGCATCCCTACCACATTTTTAAACTATACTTCTTGACCTTGGGTCACAGAAGAAATCAGCCCCAAGGAGAATCAAAGGGAATTCAAAGTGAGTGACAGAATAATATGGACACTGCATATGACAAAAGAGCTGCTGGCCACGGAAGTCACATCATCTTTTTGTGCCTCAAGTAGCCTTGAATGTAAAACATGATGGGAAGCTAAATCATATCTTTTAATGGGCCAAAAGCTTAAGATCTGTGAGACTCAAGGCAAGGGAGTTAGCCAATAACTTACGGAATTGTAGCAAAGTAGACAATATCTCCAATTGTTTGTATAAATGCCAACAAAAATCACTGGCCCCAAACCCACATGGGGAGCTGAGCACTTACCCTGAAGAGGGTCAGAGGCTTCTTAAAGCAGTTTCAGACCAGGCTGCATTGGGAGAGCCCTTTAGGCTACAGCTTTACAAATAGGCAATGAGGCCAGAAACTCAAGCTCTCCCCCCTCACACACCTGTGGGGAGAACATGAGAGCCCTTTACCCCAGTACCCAGGGGCACGCAAAGTGAGAGAAACAAAAAGCCTAGCAGCCCTTCACAACTTGTACTTTGCTAGACTAGAGAGCAAGGTTTGCTGGACTCAAAAAGATTTCTTAGCGTTCAATGTCCCCATTTAAGTCTGCCCTCTAAAACTGGAGAATAAACAGAGAAGAACCAACTAGCTACATCACCACCTCTATTGCTTGGCCCACCCACTCAATCCATTCCCATCCTCCAGTCTCCGCCCCCCACAGTCCACTCCTCACTTGATCTTTCTGAACTCATCACAGTCACAGAGGATCAAATTCATGTGCTTGTCAAAAGCCTTGAAGGTGCCAATGAAGATCCGGCCGTCCTGCAGGATGCACCTCATCCTGTAATCAATATGCTGCAGCATCTTGCTGCTCTTGCCCACCGTCTGCAAGGAGAAATGGACAGGGATGAGACTCTGCTCTTTTGGACCCAAGCACCTCTGGCCCTCCCCAAAACTTCCCATGGCGTTCTTGTCCATGTGTCCAACTTTCTCAACAGATTCTTAGCTCAGTCTCCCACCCACAGCCTTTTCCTAGGAATTCTCCCATGCCACCCTGTTTTAGCCCTGACCTCTACCCAGTAATCTGCTATTCTCTCTTCCCTTGAAATCGGTCTTTCTCATATTATAATTGCCTTTCTCCTTGTCGTGTCAGTTGCAGGGATGAGAGTATAGGGTGTCCCCAAAATAATCCAATGCATACATACTAGAGCCATCTACCAGTGTGCAGATTATAGATATGTGACTCAAGTGCTATGGAACATTCAAATCTCATTAAAAACACTGAGTAAAGGAAGAGCTAGAATAGGGCTGAAACTAAAAATCTAATCAACAAGAAGCTTGTTATCAGGAAGGAGATCAGCTTCAAGGTGAAAAATGAAATCCACATATCAAGAATTTGTTAGTGTGCCTCCAAGACTATATTTGGCAGAGGGAAACTTCTGATGGTTAGGGTGCTAACCAGTTTGGACATATAATGGTCTTTAACCCAACAAACATTTCTGCTTTCATAACCTGGGTTCCAATGTGCTAAAATAAAGAAGTGACTATATAGGTATCACTTTGTGAACTGTCAGGTACCCTAAGCAGTTGTATTTCTCTCTATAAACAAATCACCTGGCATTTGATCTGTATATCATCCTCCCATCAGTCTGACTGCTATACCCAAGTCCTAACCCACCAAGTGCCTTCTATGGACATCTGTTCATCTCTGTGAGCTCAGACAACAAAGTTCTGAACCTGCAAATATGCAGATCAAAACCTTGACTCCATGGCCGGGCTCAGTGGCTCACTCCTGCAATCCCGGCATTTTGGGAGGCCGAGGTGGGCAGAACACCTTAGGTCAGGAGTTCAAGACCAGCCTGGCTAACATGGCGAAGCCCCGTCTCTACTAAAATTACAAAAATTAGCCACACGTGGTGGCAGGTGCCTGTAATCCCAGCTACTCGGGAGACTGAGATGGGAGAATCGCTTGAACCTGGGAGGTGGAGGCTGCAGTGAACTGAGATCATGCCACTGCACTCCAGCCTGGGTGACAGGGAAAGACTCCATCTCAAAAAAACAAAAACAAAACTTGACTCCACACAAAGATACTGCGAGCCTCCCTCAGGTTAGGTGGTTCAGTTTCCATTCAATGACCATTTTAACCAGCTTCTAACCACAAGGGATCTGAACCTTTAGGGCAACATTCACTGGTCCAGCTCAACTAATGTTTACTGGGTGCTCACTGTGTATCTGGCACTGTGATAAGCACAGTACATCTCATTTAATCCCCAAAATTGGGCCCATTATTATCCCTATTTTACAGATGAGGTCACTGAGGCTAGGAGAGGTTAAGTAACTTGCCCAGTTTCACAGCTGGGAAGCTGTGTTGGAACCTAGACAAAATGAATCCAGCGCCTATTCTAACCAGTTATCCAAACAATATCCTACCAGGTTTCCCTGCTTCCAGTCCCATCGAATATACATGCCAGAGCTAGAGCAATCTTTCTAAACACCACTAAGCTTATGTCATTTTGCTGGTTAAAATCCTTCAGTGGGCAGGGTGTGGTGGCTCACGGCTGTAATCCCAGCACTTTGGGAGGCCAAGGTGGGTGGATTAACTGAGGTCAGGAGTTCGAGACCAGTCTGGCCAACATGGTGAAACCCCGTCTCTACTAAAAATACAAAAAATTAGCCAAGTGTGGTGGCGGGTACCTACAATCCCAGCTACTTGGGAGGCTGAGGCAGGAGAATCGCTTGAACCCGGGAGGTGGAGTTTGCAGTGAACCCTGATCGATCCACCGCACTCCAGCCTGGGCAACAAAAGCAAAACTCCGTCTCAAAAAAATAAAAATAAATTAAATTAAATCCTTCAATGACATGCCTCACCACCACTGAGGTAAAATTAACATGCAAGGCCTTTAGTAACTAGCCTCCTGCCAATTCTTCCCGTCTTCCCTTCTTTCTTCCTTTCTCCTCCAGCAACTTTTTCTCAGTCAACAAACGCAGAAAAATCCAGTAACTTTTTAAATCTTGTTACCCTTCAGCCTTTGTTCCTTCAGTTCTCCGGGTCTGTAATATTCCCCCCATTTTCGCCGGGAACATTCTTGCTAATCTTTTAGGAATCTGCTCAGGAACCATCTATTTGAGAAAACATTCTTACCCCGCCCCGCTGCCGTTACTTTTACCGAATGACCACACTGAATTATATTATGTGTCCCCAGCTACCTCTGTGAAGGAAGCAAACATATTTCAGAGAGTAGCCCCAGCGCCTGAGAAGTCAGGCACAGGCAAACACGGAAACGTGATGAGCAACTGAGTGGAGCTCTTCCTCCATTCGCCATCACCCTCCTCCGCCCTCCTCTCCATCCAGCAGACCTAGCGAGACTCTAGCGTGGTCCACGAGCCCCTTCCACCCACTTCCGCCAACTCTTTCTCAGACTCACAAACTTCCGCAAGTCTGAGCCTTTTACCGGGTCCCCCTGCGGCTCCAGTGCCTGCTCCGAAGCCCGGGACATATATTTATTCGGCAAAAGTTAACTTAGTGCCTACTGGGTCCCAGGAATTATGGCTACAGCGGTGTCGAGAGCCGCGGTTCTACCCTCGCCCCTGCCGAGCGACCTCGGCCTCCGACACCGGTTCCAACCTTTTCCTCGACCCCATGCCTAGCCGAACCGCCAAGGTCCTGGTCTTTCCCGCCCAGACCGAGCGGCCTCGGCCCAGGCCTTCACCGCCCTAAGTGGCTCCAACCCACGGCTTCCTCCCCGATCAGTCGCGGTTCCCACTCCACAACAGACTCGGAAGCTCCCGCGCCGCCAGCCTGTGCCCTCCTTACCATGGTGGCGGTTCTGATGGCTCTGATACCCGCCGGATTCGCCTCCTCAGAGGCCTAGCCTCTCTCCCACAGCCGATTTCCCGCCGCCGCTACCGGAAATGCAGCACCACGTAAAATGCGGTCGGGTAGAAACCTACTTCCGGTCCAGCTCACTAGCCCTGGAGTTCCGGCCCCGGAGCGGAGCTTCTGCCGAGCAGAGGCGGGGCCTGGGGACTGGGCGTTAACATCCGGCTTTGACGTAAGGAGAGCCTTAAGTTCCTGTTTGGACACCTTCCTAGCTTAAATCCGTACTGAGAGCTGCTCTGTGTCACACTCATTTCTCTTCACCCCGCCTTTCCCATTAACCTCTCGGTCCTCATTTCCCATCACCCTCCCCGGCTCTCTCCTCTACAGTCACTATTCTTGCTTTTCCCTCCACTGGCTGGACGTGCTCCTTTTTCAGCCCCTCTGCATTTGCTTTCGCCTCTGCCTGGAATGGTAGTCCCCAAGGTATACCAGAAGGCTGCTGCCCTCACCTCTTTCAAGGTTTAAGCTTAAATAACATTTTCCCAGTGAGGATTTCCCTAGCCATCCTGTAACCTTCCCACCCACCTCATCCTCATCTCTCCTGTATTTCCCTCTTGCTATCTAACACGCTGTATATTTTTGTTAGTTATTTTATTATCCCCTCCCCATTAGAATGTAAGATCCATAAGGGTGTGAATTTTTCTCTTTGTGTATTACTCATTGCTGTAGTGCCTAGAACACTTTAGCACAAAATAAGGGCTCTACCCATATTTGCTGATAATCGCATCCAGTCGTATGACATTTATTTTTTTTCTATGACTTTTTTTTTTCTTTTGAGACAGAGTCTCAGTCTGTCACCAAGGCTGGAGTGCAGTGGCACAATCTCGGCTCACTGCAACCTCTGCCTCCCCGGTTCAAGCGATTCTCCTGCCTCAGCCTCCCGAGTAGCTGGGAATACAGGCCTGTGCCACCACACTCGGCTAATTTTTGTATTTTTAGTAGAGACGGGGTTTTGCCATGTTGGCCAGGCTGGTCTCGAACTCCTGACCTCAACTCCTGGTCTCGAACTCCTGATCCACCCACTTTGGCCTCCCAAAGTGCTGGAATTACAGGCGTGAACCATCACACTGGGCCCTTCCTATGACTTTTAAATACAGCATATACACCCAAGGCTTTCAAGTTTGTTCCTCTAACCTTGGTCTCTTCATTTAACTCTTGGCCCTTTATATCCAGCTGCCAGCGTGATGTGAATGTCTAATAGGTATACCAAATTTAACATGTTGAAAACTGAATTCTTGATTCTATTCACTGTTTCTAAAACCACTTCACCAGTGTTCCCCATCCCCGAAGTTTCTTGGATTAAAAAAGAAAAAAAAGAAAATGACAAATTTGAAGCATATTTCATTCTTCTCTTTCTCTGCCATCGAATAATCAAATTCATCAGCAAATCCTGTGGCCCCCACCTTCAAATTATCTTGAATATGATTGTTGTCACCCACTCCATTGCGTCCACTCTAGTCATAGCCACCATCGTCTCTGTCTTGGATCATTGAACGAGCCCGTAACTTGTCTCTTTGCTTCCTTTCTTGTTCTCACGGCAGCCAGAGGGATCCTTCTAAACGTACTGGGATATCAGATGATGTCATGTCCTGGTCTCCACTTACCAAAAACTTCCCAGCACACATGGAATAAAATCTAGCTCTGCGCTCCTCTCCAACCTCATTCATCTCCGTCAACATTGCCCTCATTCATCCTTCTCCAGTCACACTAATCTCCTTGCTGTTCCTCAAACCCAGCAAGGAGAGCTTCCACCTTGGTGCTTTGCCATCTTCACACCATCTCTAAAGGGTGTGTTCTGTTGTCCCGTTTCCTGTCACCTGTAGATGAAGAGGCGAAGCCTCATAGAAATGAATTATGTTGCCCAAAGTGGCGGAGTCAGAGTGGGAATATAGGTCCGTCTGGCTCCTCAGCTGTTCATTTGCCCCCACCTTACCCAGCTGCCTAACACTTCATTCATGCATGCATTTAAAATCATTTTTATTTAGCATCTACTAAGGCCATGCACCATTATTGGGATAGAGTCCTTTCCCTCACGGAGCTTTACATCCTACTGAGAAAGACATAGTAAACCAAATAAATAAGTATGCAATGTAACATTAGAGTGATATGAAAAAAATAAATAAAGGCAGAGGAACTGAGAGGGATAGGGTACAGTTTTGGCTAGGTGGTCAGGGGAAACTTCTCTGAGGAGTGGTATGTGAGCAGAGACCTGAACCTACACTCAGGTCTATCAGAAGGATGAATATTATGAAGGACATTCTAGAAAATGTATATAAAGGGAATCATATAATAATACGTGGTCTTTTGTGACTACCTTCTTTCACTTAGCACAATGTTTTTAAGGCTCATCCATGTCATGACACGTATCAATACTCCATTCCTTTTTATGGCCAAATAACATTCCATTGTATGGATGTACAGTAGTCCCCCCATATCCATCTTTCACTTTCTGTGGTTTCAGTTACCCACAATCAACTGCAGTATAAAAATAGGTGAGTACAGTACAAGATATTTTGAGACCACATTCATATAACTTTTATTACAGTATATTTTTATAACTGTTCTATTAGTATTGTTAATCTCTTACTGTACCTAATTTATAAATTAAACTTTATCATAGCTATGTATGTATAAGAGAAAATAGTATATATAGGGTTTGGTAGTATCTGCCGTTCCATGAATCCACTGGTGATCTTGGAATATAACCTCCTCAGATAAGGAGGGAACTACCATATTTTATCAGTTCATCAAATGACGAACATTTGGATTGCTTCCACCTTTTGGCTGTTATAAATAATGCTGCTGTAAACATCGTGTACAAGTCTTCACGTGGACATGCTTTCATTCCTCTTTGGTATCCAGATAGGAGTGGAATTTCTGAGTCATATGATAATTCTGATTAACCATTTGAAGAACTGCCAGACTGTTTTCCAAAGTGGCTTCACCATGATACATTCCCACAAGTGGCGTATGAGGGTTCTGATTTCTCCACATCTTCACCCATATTTGTTATTATCTGACTTTTTGATTCAAGCCATCTTAATGTGAAGTGCTATCAATTTCATCGTGGTTTTGATTTGCATTTCCCTCATGACTAATGATGTTGAACATCTTTTCATGTGCTTGTTGGCCATTTATATATCATCCTTGGAGAAATGCCCATTCAGATCCTTTTCTCATTTTTTAATTGGACCATTTGACTTTTATTATTGAGTTGTAAGAATTCTTTCTACATTACAGATACAAGTTCCTTGTCAGATATATGATTTATACAGGTTTTCTCCCATTCTGTGAGTTTTTTTTTTTTTTTTTTTTTTTGAGACAGAGTCTCACCCCATCACCCAGGCTGCAGTGCAGTGGTGCGATCACAGCTCACTGCAGCCTGACCTCCAATGCTCAAGCGATTCTCCCACCTCAGCCTTCCGAGTAGCTGGGACTACAGATGCATGCCACCACGGTGGCTAATTTTTGTTATTTTTTTTTTTTTTTGTAGAGACAGGGTTTCACCACGTTGCCCAAGCTGGATTCAAGCAATCCACCCACTTCAGCCTCCCAAACTGCTGGGATTACGGGCATGAGCCACCATGCCTGGCCTTTTCACTTTCTTGGTAATATCCTGTACAAAAGTTTTTTAATTTGGATGAAGTCTAATTTATCTTTTTGTTGTTGTTGTTGCTCATGTTTTTGGTGCAATAAGAAAAATCTTTTCTGCCAAATCTAAGATTATGAAGATTTACCCCTTTGTTTTCTTCTAATAGTTTTATAGTTTTAGCTCTTACATTTAGATTTTTGATATATTTTTAGTTCATATTTTATATATGGTATAAGGTAGGGTCAAACTGTATTCTTTTCTAAGTAGATATACAGTTAGCTCAGCATCATTTGTTAAAAAGACTCTTCTTTCCCCCACTGAATAATCTTGGCACCCTAGTGGAAAATCATTTGACCATTGACACATGGTTTTATTTCTGGACTTCCAATTCTATTCCTTTGATCTATATGAAGTCAGAAAAAGTGTGAATCCTCCTCCTTTTTCTTTTTCAAGGTTGTTTTGGCTATTCTAGATGCCTTGCAACTCAATTAGTTTGCCAATCTACAAATAAGGGAAAAGAGGTCATGAATTCAGAGCCGGGGATTAAACAGGCAATTCATCTGGTATTTACTTGATAAAATGGTCCCAAGTTTCAGTCTAGATCAGGGGCGGGCAAACTTTTTTAAAATATGTATAAGACTGGTTAGTTTCCAATATTTTTTTTGTTAAGGGCAGAGAGCATTTTAGGGCTATCGAGCCATTTGGTCTCTGTTGCAATTACTCAACTTTACCATGTACCATGGAAGCAGCTATACTCAATACCTAGCAAATGAGTGTGGCTGGGTTCCAATAAAATGTTATTTATGGATACAAATAGATGTCACAAAATATTATTATCCTTTAAATTCTTTGCGACCATTTAAAATGTAAAGACCATTTACATTTTGTGTAAATGTAAATGTAAAGACCATTTACATTTTGTGTGGCTCAAGGCCACACAAAAACATGTGATCAGCAAGGATTGGCATTTAGGCTGTAGTTTGCCAACCTCTGATGTAGACCATTAGATTTCTGTGTCTAGATTCAGGGTCACAGCCCCAGCTGAGTATTCATAATTAATAGTTTTGACTTGCATTATTTATTTGGCTTATCTCTGGGCTCACCAAATATATGCAGTCAAAATTCATGTCTTTTCCCTCATTTTAAAAACACACACATATACCTTCACACTTGTATCAATCTACGTTCGACAGGGAGACAGAAACCATACAGTAATTTAAATTAAAGAATTATTTTGCCAGGGATGGTGGCTCATGCCTTTAATCCCAGCACTTTGGGAGGCTGAGGCAGGCGGATCACCTGAGGTCAGGAGTTCAAGGCCAGCCTGGCAACATGGTGAAACCCCATCTCTAAAAATACAAAAATTAGCCGGCTGTGGTGGCGGGTGCCTATAATCCCAGCTACTCAGGAGGCTGAGGCAGGGAGAAATGCTTGAACCAGGGAGGTGGATGTTGCCGTGAGCTGAGATCGTGCCATTGCACTCCAGCCTGGGCAACAAAGCAAGACTCGATCCCCACCCCCCAAAAAAATTATTTTCCAAAGATAAATGTAAATACAAAAAGAAAATCCTACAGCTGAGGGGGATTACCCAAGGATAAACTTGGAAGGAGGGTTCCCTCCCCAAGGCTAGGGTTCAGTCCTTCTTGGAGTTGTGGTTGCAGCCTACTGGATAGCAGAAAAGTTTGAGGGGGAAGGTTGTGCAGGCCAGAGTTGGTCCACAGTCACTAAGCAAGCAGAAATAACCCTCTGGGGCACAAGCAAGCCAAAGCTGGCAAATAGTACACAGAGGGAATTGGGAATACAGAGAGAGCTGGGGTGTTGATGTTGACACAAGGCCTGGATCACATGGTGTCTGTGTGGGGAAGGCCTAAGGAAACAACAGGAGCCAAGGTTAATGGGCGGATGAGCGGAGGCGGCCAAGGCGCTGCTGTGGGCACTGCTGGAAATGGAGGCTGGAGAGCTGCAAGAACCTAGTACTCTTCTGTGCACAGCTTGGGCTGGGAGACCCAACAGTGGCTACTGGGGCCCTAGTGTGCATGCACTAGAGCTGGGGAGAGGGTCAGTGTGGGCTGGGGAGGCTCAAGCCTCCGCACAGGAGGAGGTCAGGTGGTCTGCTTGCTAGACGGCCAGTCCCGTGGGGCCCCCAGCATTTGTACCAGTGAGGCTGCAGAGAGGGTATGGCAGTGGCCTGGGCTGGGGCACAGGCCTGTGCTGTTTAGGCTCCCAACTGAGCCACCAGTGCCTGAGTGGAGAGCTGGACAAAACATACTCCTATGGTGGCCAATTGGTAGAAAAAGCTGTGTCCTGCAGGCATTTAGCACGGGAGAAAACTTCACTGGCCATGGAGTAGAGTAAAAATGGGTACTCTCACAGAGGTTGCAGTGAGCCAAGATCACGCCATTGCACTCCAGCCTGGGCAACAAGAGCAAAACTCTATCTTAAAAAAAAAAAAAATAGAAAAGAAAAAAAACAGGTACTCTCCAGGACCTGGTGAAAGAGCCACCTGACCCAAGAAAGAGGACCCTTCTCCCTGCAGTGTTGCTCTGGTGCCCTCTACTGATAAACCTTATGCCAGCTGGCAAAGGAAACACGTAAAGGGCCCAGATCCATTTTCACAGACCAGGCAACACAAGAATTTGAAGCTCAAACAATAAGTTGATAATTGGCACAATTTCACATACACACACAGACGTACTCTACCACATAGAAAGGCACAATCCTGGACGCAGATGGGAAAAAGAGGACACCCAGTTTGACTTACCCTCTAGAGAAGAAACTATTCTTATGGTAAACACAGATAAGAGGGGTGTTGACTTTCTGCTTGGATTCCTGGAGTGGTGAGAACTTTTTCTCTTTTGCAAATGTGTCTACTGTTCGAAAGCTGTGTTTGTGAGAGTCCTCTTTTACATTCTTGCCTGTCTTCTACATTCAGGCAATCACCAAGTGCTTTGGAGACAAACCCTATGAAGTCTATCTTCTCTTTCAGTCCACTCTGCTGTTGCCATAGCTTGTTATAAATTTTGCCTGGACAACTGCAATACTTCTGACTTCCCAGATTTTTACTGGTCTCAGTGCTGTTTATCACACTTCCTTTCATTCTCTTAAGTTTCCTCTCGGATTCTCTGCAATATCTCTTCTAGATCTCCAGCCCCATATGAAATTCCTTTGTCAATATATTCAGCAGAAAATCTGATTGGAAATGTTTTCATATTCTTACTAGCTATGTCAAGTGTACCTCCAATACTGCACAATTTATTTACTCAAAGATTTTTACAGGTTGAGCCTTTCTCTCAAGACAGGTGACCAGATGCAGTGGCTCATGCCTGTAATCCTAACACTTTAGAAGGCCAAGGTGGGAGAATTGCTTGAGCCCAGGAGCTTAAGACCACCTGGGTAACATAGTAAAACCTTGTCTCCATTAAAAAAAAAAAGACAAGCCACTTTTAGTGGCCGTGACTTAGGAGAAGGTACAGGCCCTTCTTCTTTAACCTAGGTTACAGGTTACTAGAACAGACACAGAAGAGAGGAAGCTAAGACAAAAACGATTTTAAGTAGCATTAAAATTTACAAAACTCAGCTCTCTTTCTGCCAGCCAAAAAATCGCTTTCTAGTTCCCAAAGGAATTGGAAAGCAGGGAAGAGGTAAGAACTGATGGCTGGCAGCAGTAAGGGCGCTGCTGAGCAACTGCTCTACCTGAGAGTGGGCCGAGCTGGGGAAGCTGGACTCGGCCTTGGGGTCTGCATCAGTAGCAGATAGAGCATCACCTATCCTCATGTGTAACCTGGCTTTGTGAGATTTTTCTAGTCATCAACTATTGCCCCATAACTCACAGAAGGAATGCTTTTACCCTTCAAGAACACTAGTTAGGTAGAACTCTAGGAACCTTGTTTCATTATTTTTTTTTTTTTTTTGGGATTCTAGAATGTCATGCTCCAACCAGTCCCAAATTTCTCTTTAATCAAAGAGCAGCTGAGTGTTTGGCTGTTCTCCAAAATGATTTCTAGGTTAAAATTAATGAATAAGATATGGGGCTAGATAAAAATAATCTTTCCACGAGAATGCAGATTTTATCCCTTACACATTTCATGCATATTAGAGAAAATAAAAAAGCATAACATGGTATAGAAAAAGATTATGCAATGAGAGAATCTCATGTCTGTCAAGAATCCTCTACCATTTTCTCTCTTTTAGAAAAAATGATTTAAAAAATTATATGTGCTTACTTTGTTTTTGTTTGAAACGAAGTCTCACTCTGTCACCCAGACTGCAGTGCAATGGTGTGATCTTGGCTCACTGCAACCTCCATCTCCCAGGTTCAAGCAATTCTCCTGCCTCAGCCTCCCAAGTAGCTGGGATTACAGGCATGTGCCACCACACCTGGCTAATTTTTGTATTTTTAGTAGAGACAGGGTTCCACCATGTTGGCCAGGCTGGTCTCGAATGCCTGACCTCAGGTGATCCACCTGCCTCAGCCTCCCAAAGTGCTGGGATTGAGCCCAGCACTTTGGGAGTTTTGGATTTGAGCCCAGCACCAGGTGTGAGCCACCGCGCCCGGCCAACTTACTTTGGATATAGGAGAAATATATGCACAGATATTTTGAAATTAGGTTAGAGCTTGCGTGTATAAATTATTTCACCTTTAATCTGAATCACTTTACCTAATTTCACAACCAGGTGCTGTCAGATTGCCTGCCATCTTGAAAGTCCCTTCAACCCAAATCCTTTCTGTGGACTCATCACACAAGGTACCACCTTATGACTACTCCAGGTAGTCATATTTCTGTAAGTTTTTTGGTCAGATTTCGTTGTTTCTGCTCATTGCGATTACTAGGTCAAATGTTTCCAAACTAAAATTGATTTTTTTTTTTCCCCAAAGAGACAAGGTCTGACTATTTTGCCCAGGCTGGTCTCAAAGTCCTGGGCTCAAGTGATCCTCCCACAATGGCCTCCCAAAATGCTGGGGATTACAGGCATGAGCTACCATGCCTGGCAATCCACTACCAATTTTTCAGAAAACTCAGCAAAAATCAATATAAAAAAAAATTCTAAAACTAAAAGTAAGGTAGAATGATGGTGGGTTCTGAACTCAAGACCATGGTTTGAAAAAATGGGTAGGACATGGATAGCTAAATTAAAAGGCCAAAAAGAGGTGGAGCTCAAGACTTCTTGGAGTGAGGCTTAGATGGTGAGGCCAGGAAGGATGCAGGTAGCAATCTGACTTTAGTTTGAGTCCCCCAGTTCTCTAAAGTACTCCCCACCCCACCCAATCTGGTCCCCTCATTAACAGGACTTGTTTGGATGCTGCAGGCATTTGAACACCCATCTCATGTTGGAAATAAGCTCTACACAAAAACTGAACTCTTCCTTCTTAGGCACCAAAGCCATAGTCCTGGAGTGGAGAATTTGCATCTCTCTTTCTTCTGAGAGAAACTCTAGTACGTTTCAATTCTGTTTCCTTCTGGGATGGAGTGGAAAGGTCCTGATAGTGACCCTTCCTAGAAACAAAGGAGGGGAGTCAGCACAGCCTGAGGAAGCCCCTTCCAGGGCTGGAAAGATGACATCTTTGCCCCTCTCCCTCTGCTGGGCTAGGGCAGGCAGCCCTTTCCCTGGGCCACATCTGAGGTCGCTATAGGTTATGGGGGATTTCAGTAAAAAACAATAATTCTGCATCATTTTTTTCTTTCCACTCCTTTTTTCAAAAGTAAGAGCTAGTTTTCTTGTTTGCTTTTTTCTTTCCCAATGGTAGGAGGAATGTTGGGATTGTCCGGAATGGGGAGGGCCTACCCCTTCCCTCTTCAAAACCCTAGAGATTATATGCCTGCATATACTTTTCCCTCAGTGGCCTCCAATTCTGATCAGAAGTTGGTGTTATAGGGGCAGTTCTGGCAAAGGGTGGGGGCCCACACTCCCAGACATGCACATCCTTTTCCCTCATCAGACCTGACTGAGGAGCCACTGCGTAATTGATGCTATGGTGTGAATGTCTCCTCCAAAATTCATGTTGAAATTCAATTGCCATTATGATGAGATTTATGGGTGGGACCTTTAAGAGATGATTAGGTTACGAGGGCTGAGCCCTCAAGAACAATGCCAATATCACAGGAGTGGATTAATTATACTGGAGTGGGCTCCTGATAAAAAGGGTAATTCCAGCCCCCTTTTGCTCTCTGTCTCACATATTCGCTTGCTCTGCTGTCTTCACCATGGGATGATGCAGCATAAAGGCCCCCACCAGGTGCTGGCACCATGCTCTTGGACTTCCCATCCTCTAGAACCATAAGCCAAATAAGTTTTTGTACATTATAAATCACTCAGTCTGTGACATTCTGTTATAACAGCAGAAAACAGATTAAGACAGCTAACTTCATGCCTGGGGGAGGCAAGTGGGGAGAGGCCTTGGAGCCAGTAACTCTTTCTTTTTTCATCCTCTCCTTGAATGAGGTGTCCAAAACACTTCATGCTTCTTCTGATTTTCCAAGCCTGATATGCATTTTATGGATCTTGCAAACTCCAATTGGGCAAACAAAGTTGCTGGAGCCTAGGAAGACCCTCTCCAGTGAATAGTTATTGGTCCAAGACAGAAAATCAGAGCCAGGGCATGTGGAGTTTATTCAAAAGTCTGGGCAATTTGGGCTCTGAGGGAGGAAGATTTTAAAAGGGTGTGGCTAAAGGGCAGATCCTTGGCCTGAAAAACAATGGACGGAGTATGGCTAGGTTGCCTCAGACCAGTTATTAAAGGGATGATGTGTGGGTATCATTAGCAGGACTGGGCCCTAGAATTGGAGGGCCAAGGGGACATGGTATCGGAGCTATGTTTAGGGGTCTTTACATCTATTATTGTTGATCTGACATGGGGAGTAGCTAAGAGGCCCAAAGCAATGACTCATGACTAGAGAACAGTTTGGGCATGGTTAAAGGACCTGCCTCTGCAATCTGGAAGGCTGCAGAGGGGATGTGGTTAAAGGGTCCCTGGAACTGGAGGACATGAGCAGATCATTAAGGACTGCAAAAATTCAGTGGAATAGAGAAGTATTCAGCAAAGACACCTGCAGAAAGAAAGAAAAAGAGAGAAGGCAAGATGGGGAGAGAAAGAGAAACACACAAAGAGAGAGAGAGAATACCTAGGGAAGGAAGCTTTCACAGAAGCTGAAGAAAGTGATCAGTCTGGAGAAGAGGCAGCCCAGCCCTGGAGACCTGGAAAATCCCCTCCCTGCAACTGGCCTGTCTCTAGAACCTAATCACTCCTCCACATGAAAAGGATCAAATTCTCCAAAAAAATCTATTAGATTGATTCTCAAGGGTTGAATTTATGCAGGAAACCCTGACTGTGAATTTGAATTCCTTGCACCCTTTCAGTCAGATGAGTGGCCAAGCTACACAGCCTGAACTTATTGAAGAAATTTTGAACTAAAACAAAGGGATAAGAAAACACGGGAAAGAACTGGTATATGAAAATAAAACAAGTTGATCATTTTTTGATTACTTAAATAAAGCCTGCTTTTTTATTTCATCTGATTCCAAGAAGTAGAAAAGAATGCTTATTTAACAGTTACTGCCATCTTCGCTCACATACAGAGTACATGGGGGAGTCAAGACATTTCCTGAAAATCCCTCAGAGGTGAGTGAGGTAGTGACTTGGGGTAGCAAGACTGTCCTCCTAAGTCAGTTGAGGAGTGACATCGGGATGAAGCTCCACCCACAAGCCCTGCCCACAGAGGTCTTCTCCCTGAGTGTGTCCTCCTTTAGTACAAGATGAGGTTTAACTTATTGCTAATGTGTTTCACATTTTCCCTCCCCACCCATGTAAAGCTTGTCCCAAAAAAGCTGTTCTTTGATGAGGACTTTTTCCTAAGTCCTTGTCCATTCTCCCCACACATGCAGAATTTCTATTCAATATACTCTGGGGCTTACTGCGGGGTGACTCATGGCTGAAGCCTTATCTACACTCCTTATATACCTAACATGTCTTAGAATCAATTATCTGGACAGACAACGAGACAGAAAATTGAGGATTCACTGGGGAGTGAGGGCAGGACTGGGCAGAGGAAGAAGCTGACCTGCAATGTGTCTGCAACCCAGTGATCCTTCAGTTCGATGGGGATCTCTGGATCTGGAATGACCTTCTGGAGTTGTCCCCGTTGAGTCAAGGGTTGGGGCCAGAAGGTACCCCTGCAAAGGTGCATTGCCCCTGTGGTGCATGCAGCTCCCTGTGGCTGAGAGTGAGTTCCAGAGCGGAGTGCATCTCTGGAATGCATCTCTGCCAGCAGCAACACTGTTCTCTCAAGCAGCTGGGGTGTTACCCCTGAAAAGGTCATCTGGGCAGAGCTCCACAGTGTCCCCACATGCAGATTCTCCCTGTGGTGTGTGATCACAAAAGCTTTGCCCATACATCCTACAAACAAAGACCTCCTTCCTGAGGGCCACTCTGTGCCTGAGTGTCCATTCTTTTACTGATGCTCCCCAACACTCCCCAGACAAGGGTGCTTTCCCCTGAGGCTGTCATTGGATGTCTGGTAAATGTTGATTATTGCTAAAGCCTTCCCACAGTCCCTACACATAAACTTCTCTCCTAAGTGTGTCCTTTTGTGCATGCTCAAGGCTGACTGATGGCTACAGTTGCCCGTACTCTATACTCATAAGGCTCCTCTCCTGAACGTGTCCCTCCCATGCCTGATAAGGGCTGACACATCTCTGGAACTTCACTCACAATCTGTGTACACAGGGTCTACTCCCCATGTGTCTCTCTGGGGTAACATGAGGCTTGACTGGTCACTCAGGTCTTGTTCATGACCCCTGCATACACAGGTTTCTCCCGTCAGTGTGTCCTCTGGTGTCTGATGAGATTTGACTTATGACTAAAGCCTCGCCCACACTCCCTACAAACATAATGCTTCTCCCCTGAGTGTGTCCTCTGGTGGACAAGGAGGAGTGATTTCCGGCTAAAGCCTCGGCCACACTCACTGCACACGTAAGGCTTCTCTCCTGAGTGTGTCCTCTCATGTACAATGAGGGTTGACTTGTCACAAAAGCCTCGCCCACATTCCCTGCAAATATAAGGCTTCTCATTTGAGTGCGTCCTCTGGTGTCTGATGAGATTTGACTTCTGGCTAAAACCTCGCCTACACTCCCTGCAGACATAATGCTTCTCCCCTGAGTGTGTCCTCTGGTGGACAAGGAGGAGTGATTTCCGACTAAAGCCTCGGCCACACTCACCACACACATAAGGCTTCTCTCCAGAGTGCGTCCGCTCGTGTATGATGAGGGTTGACTTGTCACAAAAGCCTCGCCCACACTCCCTGCAAACATAAGGCTTCTCATCCAAGTGTGTCCTCTGGTGTTTGATGAGATCTGAGTTCTGGCTAAAGCCTCGCCCACACTCCCTGCAAACATAAGGCTTCTCCCCTGAGTGTATCCTCTGGTGTTTTCTGAGGGTTGACTTATCACAAAAGCTTCGTCCACACTCCAGGCACACATAGGGTTTCTCACCGGAGTGTGTCCTCTGGTGTCTGATGAAGGATGACTTCTCGCTAAAGCCTCGCCCACACTCGCTGCAAACATAGGGCTTCTCCTCTGAGTGAGTCCACTGATGTCTATTGAGGATGGACTTACTTCTAAAGCTTTGCCCACACTCCCTGCACAAATAAGGCTTCTCTTCTGAATGTGTTCTCTGGTGTCTGCTGAGGTTGGACTTCTGGCTAAAACCTCGCCCGCACTCACTGCACACATAAGGCTTCTCCATCGAGTGTATACGATGGTGTCTGATGAGGGTTGATCTATCTTTAAAGCTTCGCCCACAATCACTGCAAATGTAGGGCTTCTTCCCTAAGAGGGTCCTCGGGTTTGTAATAAAGTTTGATTCCAGGTTATGGTCCGGTTCATACTCTCTACAGTTGATTGCTCCAAATCTCAAGGTTTCTAATTCCTTCAAGCCTTTGTCTAGCTGCACAGGGTTTGGTCTTTGGGCTGAGCTGGGCTCTGTTTCTACCACCATGTTGCCTTTTCTAGGACTTGCTGACTGTCTTTGGAGTGGGCTGGGGAATGCCCTTGAGGTTTCTCTCTCCTCTGTCCTTGCAGACCAGGGTTTGGAGCCACCTCCTCTCTCCTGACCTTCTGCATTTTCAAACCAACAGCTTACATGGGAATACTGCTGCCCCTGCTGTTTCCAATGCCCTGGGCTAGAATTCCCTGGATGGAAGTGATTTTCTGCACATAAGCCCAGGAAGATCTGAAGTACATGTTGACTGAGGAACTGCTGACAGGAGAAGGCCAGAAGGCAGGAGGAACAAGTGTAGATTTCTGGCTTTGGTTCTGCTGAAGAATGAAAGTTTTCTGTTAGAGTAGCCATAAGTAGGGCTGCTGAGTTGTTCTGCCTTGTCTTAGGACAGAGAATGTTTTACTGCCATGCCTATAATTGATAATATAAGTATAACACAATTTGCTTCTGAACAATGATTCCTTTACATTCCATCACATTTTCTATTGCAATCCAGAAAATCCATAACAAAAATATCTTGAGAAACCAGGAACCTCTCAAGTGAGTATTCTGCTCTGTAAACAGCTTCAATCATAGTTAGCCTTCTCCTAAGCCATAGACATTCACATTGGTATATACTGTCCACAGCTCTTTGTTCTGCTTGGAGATAGTGGTCTCTATGACACATGTGGAAATCTCCTTCATGACTTTTCTTATTATATAAAAAAGGGTCTGATAGACATAAAAAGTCCCTCATTCTGGAGGGCTTCCGAATGTAGGAGAAAGTGTATGGAATACTGGTTAAAGAAATTATTGTATATAAAACAAATATAAATTTCAGGCTGCCCACCTGTAAACAAAGACTTATTAGAAAATGCCAAAGTACTAGGTTCTCTACTAAGTATTATGAATTCAGTAATGAACAAGAAAGACATGGTCCATGATTTTAGGATTCTGGCACCAAGCCAAAACAACAAAATCTGCCTTTCTTTCCACTTTTCATAAATCAGTAAAAAGAAAAACTTTTCATTTACAGCAGCACCTGCCTACAAAATATCAAAACTAGATGTTGCATTTCATCACAACATGATCTATCCAACTGATGCTGAGAAATGACCACGTACTTGGCCCCAGACCCTACTGGGCCTAACTGAAGACTTCTGCCTAACTAATGAACACTGGAATCTTTATAATCAACTGTATCTGTCCTTAAAAACTCATCCTATCCTATCTGGAATGCTAGTTTTCAAACCTTAATTAGCATAACCATCATGAAACTGCTCCCTAACAGTAAAACCTTTTATTTTTCCCCCTTGCCAAACTATACAGTGAATTTCTTCACTGCTGTGTCTCCTTTCCTGTTAAGTAAATGATTTGTGCCATTTGATTTTTTGACCTTTTGTGGTCTTTGTTTTAGTTTTTGACAATGTGTTTTCCCTTTGGTTGCTCTGACAAGGCACCGACCAGTGCTGGAACTGCTGGACTGCCAGAGGAACACAGCTGTGTGTAGACTGAGCCGTATGTGCTCAAAGCTGCTTGTCTGGCAGCCTTGCCATGGGTGAGGCTCTCAGCAGCTGTCAGGCTCTGCTTGCTGTCACTGAGCACTCCCTGAGTCTGTTTGGTTTACTTGGGTTCTCAAAGTAACTCATTATTTGTTTCTATTTCTGACCCGTCATCTCTTATAAGACTTGTGGTCATTCTGGTACTTTGTGACGTGAACTTTTTGCCTTGATATTTTGACTGTGATTCGCTGCCATCTTTTTGGATTATCTAGAAGCATACCAAGTCATTCAGACTGCAGTCTGAATATATATACGGCAGTGATGTAACACCCTACATCACTGAGAAGCATTTCAGTAGGAGAAGAAATCTCATTTGTGTCTATTTTGTGTCAAACACTGGAACCAAAAGCTCCTTACACTTAACACCCTGTTAAAGGGACCCCATGTATACTCACTATGATTCTAATCCCTACGCCTTACTAGGAAAGTATCATCATTTCACTAAAGATAATTTAGATTTACTGAGGCCATTTTGAGGAACTCTGTTTTCTATCATGCCCCTTTGCTATATAATAATTCAGTATATATTTCTAAAGAACTATATAGTTGAGAGATCTGTCTTGCATCATCAATATATTTACTCATTTGCTTAATCTTAAAATGCAAGGAATAAGGCCGGGTGCAGTGGCTCATGCCAGTACTCTGGGAGGCTGAGGCAGGTGGATCACCTGAGGTCGGGAGTTCCAGACCAGCCTGACCAATGTGGAGAAACCCCATCTCTACTGAAAATACAAAATTAGCCAGGTGTGGTGGCACATGCCTGTAATCCCAACTACTCGAGAGGCTGTGGCAGGAGAATTGCTTGAACCCGGGAGGCAAAGGTTGTGGTGAGCCGAGATTGCACGATTGCACTCTAGCCTGGGCAACAAGAGCGAAACTCCATCTTAAAAAAAAAAAAAAATGCAAGGAATATAGTTTCAGAATTGTGGACCCACATCCTTACAAAACACAAATATACAAAATATAGTCCATATAGTTCATGCACTTCTTTGTCAATAGAGAAGGAGTTGGCCAATTTTTTCTGTAAAGAACCAGAGTAAATATTTTAGGGTTTGTAGGTGACATGGTCTCTATCATGACTGCTTAACTCTGCCATTGTATAACAAAAGCAGCCATAAATAATTCATTGTTCCAAAAAAACTTTATTTACAAAAACAGGCAGTGAGACAGATTTGGCCTGTAGACCCTAGTTTGCCAACCCTCATTTTACTATGGAGTATGGTCAAAGCTCTCTGTTAACGGGGTTGTTTTCCCCTGTTACCTGTGGTCGTGTTATTATTTTGGAACACAGTTAGGTAAATTTGTTTCTCTTTGTATTCGATTGTAGGGATTTTCCCTCTCTTTGTTGATTTAATTCCTTTCTTTGAGTATTTAAACACTAACATGCTCCAAAAGTGCAAAACTATTCAGAAAGGGCATGCCTCTCCTTTCCATAGCCTTCCAGCCAAATCCCACATATAACCTCACAGCTAACCAATCTCATTAGTTTCTGGTTTATTAACCCTGTATTACTTTGTGGGAAAAGAAAAAAAGAAGAAACAGATATGCATATGCTCATAATTTCTCACTTTTAAAAACACTCTTTGCACTTGGCTCTTTTCACTTAATATATCCAAGAATTTACTCCCTATCAGTTCAGAGGAGCTCTTCCCCATTTTGGAAGTCATGTATCATCACTTCTTCAACCAATTTACTACATAAGGGCAATTAGGTTACTCTGATCTTTTATACAGAAACAATGCTACAATGAATAACCCTGTACAAGTGTAATATCTTTGGAGATGAATCTTCAGGGTAAATTCCTATAGGTAGGATTGCCAGGTCAAAGCATATGCATATATAGTTTCGTTACATGTTGCCAAATTTCCCTCCATAATGGCTGCAGCATTTCTGCATTGCCATCTGCAGTGTATAAGGTTGCCTATAGCCCTCAGCTTAGCCAAGTGTTCTGTCAACCTTTTTAAATGCTGCCAATGGTATGTTAAGAATGGTGTGTAGTTTTAATTTGCATTTATCTAATTAGAAGTGAAGTTGAACACCTTTTCAAACATTTAAGGGACAATGTTATATTTTATTTTGTGAATCGTCTATTTAGGTATTTTGCCTATTTTCTTCCTATCTGGTTTTAGGGTTCTTCTCTTTGAATTTTAAGATTCATTCTATGTTATGGAAAATAACTCTTTATATGTGATATACTGTATGTGGCAAATATTTCCTGGAAATTAGTCCTTTCTTTTGACTTTGCTTACAGCGTCAAACTTATCACTCTTCCCTTCTAGGCATCTGGATTTTTAGCCAAATTTAGAAAACCTTTTCCTGTGTCCAGGTGATAGAATATTTACCCCCATCCTATCCTAGTGTGTTTACGGTTTAATTTTTTACATTTAGATCTCTAGTCATTTGGGATTTTTCTTGTGTATGGTGTGTGGTATATGGTCCAATGTTATGTTTTTCCAAATGGATATCTAGTTGCCCAACACCATTTATTAAAATGTCCATCTTTACTCCAGGAATTTGAGATGCCACCTTCATCACATACCAAAGTTCCATAAGTACTTGGGTTGACTTCTTGATTCCACTGGTCTATTTGTCTAGTCATGGGCCAGCACCACAATGTTTTCTTTCTTTATTTTCTCCTTGCAGCTTCAACTCAAAGGACACATTTTAATTCTAAAGGTTTTGTAGCATATTTTAGTGTCTGATAAGGATAGTACCCTGTTATAGCTTTTATTTTTCAGTGCATTCTTGCCTATTTTTCCACCTTTATTTTTCCATGTGAATTTCAGAAAAGAATTTCACTGTTTTATTGGGACATGTTAACTTTATGAATTACCTTAGGGATAAGTGACAACCTGATTTTAATCTATAAAAATATTTTTTGAGGCCGTGCATTGTGGCTCACACCTGTAATCCCAGCACTTTGGGACGCCCACGCAGGTGGATCACTTTAGACCAGAAGCTTGAGACCAGCCTGGGCAACATGGCAAAACCCTGCCTCTACTAAAAATACAAACAATTAGCTGGCATGGTGGCATGCACCTGTAGTCCCAGCTACTAGGAAGGTTGAGGTGGGAGAATCACCTGAGCCCAGGAAGTCGAGGCTGCAGTGAGCTATGATCATGCCACTGCACTCCAGCCTGGATGACAGACGTGAGACCCTGTCTCAAAATATATATAAATTTTTTTTAAATCAAAGAAATTTGAACACAGATTTCGTATTAGATACCATTAACTTTGTTGAACGTAGTAATGGTATTGTGGTTATGTAAGAATCCATTTTCACTTTTTAGAGAAATGTGGTATATTTAAGGGTGTCGTGATATTTAGAATTAACTTTGAAATAATTTGGCCAGAAAGGGAGAAGTGAATGATAATGCAAGCTGGTAATGTGTTAATAACTATTAAGTCTAGATAATTCATGTTCCTCCTTGACCTATCAGCCCTACGAACACTTATTTCTCAGATTCAACCTAAGCTACCCTCTTGTAGCAAACTGTATTTTGCTCATAATATCTGCTGTTCCTCCCCACTGAGCCCATCTCTGAAGAAGGATTCTCTTTCCCACCACGATGACATCAGACTTAGCTGTGGGATTTGCTTTGGCCAATGAAGGTTAGTGGGAAGTTAATGCACTTTCAAACAAGTGTTAAGAGCCAGGATGTGGTCCCATCATTGCTCTTTTTCCCTCTACCTTGAGAACCCCATGATCCAGACAGAAACTGCTCCTTTTGCTTGGATCCCAGAACCAAAATAGCTGAACCACACCTGAAGTAACCAAGAGGTAATGTGAGAAATGAGCATTTGCTATTATAAGCCACTAAAGTATTGGGGTTGTTTATCACAGTATTATCTGGCCTAAGCTTATTAAACTGTCTCCCCTGTGAAGGCTTTAAAGATTATTTCAGAAAGAATTGGCCCATTATTTCTAACAATGCCCTTGAAGAAAAGACATTAACATGAATATGTGAAGAAAGAGAGAAAAAGAGACTCGGGCCGGGCTATGGCTCACACCTGCAATCCCAGCACTCTGGGAGGCTGGGGTGGGTGGATTGCTTAAGCCCAAGAGTTCGAGACCAGCCTGGACAACATGGCAAAACCCTGTCTGAAAAAAAAAGAAATAAAGTAAAATAAAAGAAGGAAAGAAAAGGAAAGGGGAAGGGGGAAAAAGCGAACAAAGGGGAAAATGGAAAGAGGAAAGAAAGAGAGAGACTGGTTTAGGAGGAAAAACAGTATGCTCTCAAGTTTTTATAACTTTGAGAATAAGCTTGTGGTTGCAGGCAAGGAGAAAGATGGGGATGAAGCACAGGTGAGACAGCGATAGATAATGGCTTCATTATAATGTGTGATGGGGAAACTCATTCAAGTTCTCAAATTGTTAAATGGTGTGAATACAAACACAGAAAAGGAGTATGTGACACTGACTCCTACGGACCCCTGCAGCCCAGAGAAAAGAAAAAGAAGGAAGGGAATAGCCCAAAAGAGAGACGTCAGAGGCTGGAGACTGCGGAACATTATGGTGTCAAGCAAGACAAAGGAAACGATTTCAAGGAATGCAATTGGGATCCAGGTTTTCAATATCAAGATTCATTTGAACTAGGTCATTTGTTTGTGTGTGTGTTTGTTTGTTTGTTTGCTGTTTTATGGGTCTTTTTTTTGGTTTTTGTTTTTTTTTTTGAGATGGAGTTTTGCTCTTGTTC